>NC_000002.12:116277496-116580527 GCF_000001405.40 Homo sapiens | reverse complement strand
ATGTGTCATTGTCATCACCTCCCCCATAGCCTATCCAGATAGAATTTATATGTGAGAGGAAAGTCTCACTGATTAACGCTACATCAAGATTCCTCCTACATGTACCCAGTTCAGGCAGCTTCTCAGAGCAAGCTGGAGGCTAAGCCCCTCATTGGTTCACTAGCAACTTTGTAGTGACTCAGCTTTCACAGTCTGTACTTCACTTTCTCTGTCTTGGCTGCTGTTGTTTGGTAACTTGTAATTTGGATTCTGATTATACATTATTTAACTTATGTCTCCTAACTCCGCAAGAGATTATGTCTGATACTGTATCTGCCACTTTTTCATAATCTACCTGACATACTACTATCTACTCTAGACATTGAAGCTTCTTCTTGGGTGCATTTCTTTATGTGTAAATGAGAATCATCATCATAATGCTTCTTTCTTAGAGCTTTTTATTATTGTTATAAATATTAATGGATGTAATATATGTAAAGCATTGCATAATGCCCTATTAAAAGGCGTATTCTCAATAAATGATTATGACTGCTGTTGCTTATAAGACACAATTCATGCTCTATCCCCATTTAGCTGCTTCTTTGAATGGCTGTATCACCTCTTAATTATCTATTGCATTCCTGGCATAATCATGGAGCATCTTCACTGGCCTTGGGCTGCTTAGCTCTAGCTTTAGACATCTCGTTATGTAAAGAAAGAATAAAAGTTAAAACAAATCACTAACCAAGAAATCCTGTTTGCTTTATTCTTTGTTGTATTTATAATTTATTGACAGTTGAGTTTTATCTTAATTGACATAAGAAACAAAGGTTAACTTTAATCATGGATACATAAGTGTATACACGAAATATAGAGGTTTCATAACAAATGGATTATAGAAATCAGCTTAGTCTAAATAGTCTGGGCCAGGCCGAGGGCAGTGGCTCATGCCTATAATCCCAGCACTTTGGGAGGCCGAGGCAGGCGGATCACCTGAGGTCAGTAGTTCAAGACCAGCCTGAGCAAAATGGAAAAACCCCATCTTTACTAAAAATACAAAATTAGCCAGGAGTGGTGGTGCACACCTGTAATCCCAGCTACTGGGGAGGCTGAGGCGGGAGAATTGCTTGAACCTAGGGGGCGGAGGTTGCGGTGAGCCGAGGTTGTGCCGTTGCACTGCAGCCTAGGCAACAAGAGTGAAACTCTGTCTCAAAAAAAAAAAAAAAAAAAAATTCGCGCCAGCCTCTTGCATCCTACTTCTTCTCCCTTAAGTCTAAGATGTCTAGGTCTGTGGTGATGCCTTTGGTTGGATTTATCCATCCTAAGGCAAGGTGAACATGCAGCATAGAGCACAGTGCTCAGACCCTACTACTACAAGATGAGTGACTTAGACTCTACCAGTAAGGGCCAGATATATAAGAGGAAGAATATATTGGGGTATCTTTAGATGTGCTTAACTAATAGGGTACGATAGGTAAAAGGGGTTGCCCCTACCTGGAACCTGACCTTAACAGACACTGGACACTAACATAACCTGATGGATTTTGAAAAATCTGATTGGCAACTCCTCTACCTTTAGAGAAGGCATAATCCCTAAGGTGGCCAAAATAGTACAAATTTGCCTGATCTTTCTGCCCGTATTTTTGCTTATGCCCATTCAGGAAAGAAATTTTATATTCAAAAAAAAAAGTGAAAAAGCAAAAGTGGGAAGAAAAAATGTTAATGAATATAACAATTCCTTACAGTAAAGTAAGTATCATAAACATTGTAAATCACATTCAGTCTTTTTTTTTCTTTTCAAAATATAAAGTTTATTCAATATTGTTAAGCTCAAAGTGATTCCTTATATAAATCTACTCTTTTCTCTAGTGCTTACCTGTTAAGGTTACCACATTGCAGATAAACTATAGTCTCCATATATTGCATCCAGCTTCAATAAAAAAAAAATGGAGCAGGAACATATTTAGAGTGTTCCTATGGTAAATGATGCACACTTGAAAATCAGCCCAAGTATAGTTCTCATTTTCTCATAATACAGAATAGACTGTAAAACTGTGTTTTATTATTGATTGTATGATAAGCAGCTTTAATGCTATAATCAGACTCAATGTGAAAATTATGGCCCTAACAGGAATTAATAGACAAATATTTAACTTTCCTAATGGGCCAATGCTTCTGAAATATCTCTCTCCCTCTCTCTCTCTCTCTCTCTCTCTCTCTCTATATATATATATATATATATATATATATATACACACACACACACACACACACACACACATGCAGACAAGAGAAGAGAAGAGACAACTGCTAGCTACCAAGGCTTCCACAATATATGTGAGTTCCCAGTCTGCTTTCTTTGCAATTCTGAGGCTGACAGCTTAGTTGATTTGCCCCACTTCCACCTCTCTCCCCAAATCACATTTATACCATCTGTCTTTAACATATAGTCAAAGCATTTCAGCTTTCTTATGGTCTTGGAAAAAGCACCATTCAAATGGTTAAAAGGCATCATCTCAAAGGAACCAATCGAGAGAGAGAGGGTGAGACAGGGATAAAAGTTTTCACTCTGTTCATGGATTCTATCCAGAACAAGAAGTTCGACTTTTAGGTTTCAGGCCACCTTTGACTTGAAGGTTGGGTTTCACAGGTGACCCATCCCTGTCTACCTGGAAATTTGTCTGTCTCCTGTCACTATCAGATAGACACTTTGTACTATTTTTCACTTAAGAAAACATTTTCACACAGAGGTGGAGCAAGATGGTGACTAGAAAGTTCCACTGATTGTCCCCCTCACAAGGACACCAAGTTAACAGCTATCTACACCGATAAAACACCTTCATAAGAACCAAAAGTCATATGAGCATTCATAGTACCTGGTTTTTTTTTTTTTTTTTTTTTTTTTTGAGACGGAGTCTCGCTCTGTTGCCCAGGCTGGAGTGCAGTGGCGGGATCTCGGCTCACTGCAAGCTCCGCCTCCCGGGTTCACGCCATTCTCCTGCCTCAGCCTCCCAAGTAGCTGGGACTACAGGCACCCGCCACTACGTCCGGCTAATTTTTTTGTATTTTTAGTAGAGACGGGGTTTCACCGTTTTAGCCGGGATGGTCTCGATCTCCTGACCTCGTCATCCGCCCGCCTCGGCCTCCCAAAGTGCTGGGATTACAGGCGTGAGCCACCGCGCCCGGCCGTACCTGGTTTTAACTTCATATCGCTAAAAGAGGCAATGAAGAGATTTTTAAAAAACAGGCCAGAATCCTTGACGGCACCCCTACCACCACCGCCCACCCCTGGTAGCGGAGGCTTGGTGCAGAGAGCTTCTCTTGGTCATGCGGAGGAGAAAACAGCAATTGTGAGGCATAGAACTTATTGCTGTTTTGTTAGAGAAGCAAGGAGTACTGGACCAAACTCAATTGTTGCCTGCCCACAGAAGGGGCGTTTAAACCAACCCTAGCCAGAGGGGAATTATCTCCCCCAGTGGTGAAAACTTGAGTGCCCACAAACCTCACCACCCAGGGCCAAAGTGCACTCAGTCTTTAAGTAAAGTTGAAAGACAGTCTAGGTAGGCTGTAAGGACTGAAGCTGAAGCTCTTAGGTGTGTCCTAAGGCTGAAGTAGTCCCAGAGACGGTGGACTGTGTGGGGCACAGGCAATATACTGAGACATACTGAGGCAGCCGGAGGAGTCCTGGCATTACCCCTTCCCTAACTCCAGGTTACGGAAGCTCCAAAAGATATCTCTTCCTTTTGCTTGAGGGGAGGAGAGAAAAGAATGAGGAGGACTTTGTCTTGCATCTTAGATACCAGCTCAGCCATGGCAGGATAGGCACCTGTCAGAATCATAAGGCCCCTTATTTAGGCCCTAGCTCCCAGATTACATTTCCAGATACACCCTTGGCTAGAAGGGAACCCACTGCCTTACTGCTAACTGAAGAGCCCTAGGGCTCTAAATAATCAGCAACAATATCCAGGTACTACATCAAGGGCCTTGGTGAGCCTCTGAGACTTGCTGGCTTCAGGTGAGACTCAGAACCTTACCAGCTGTGGTGGATATGGGGCAACAGGCCTTCTGCTTGAGAAAAGCAGAGGGGAAAGTAAAAAGGACTTCGTCTTGCACCTTAGGTACCAGCATGGCCTTGGTGGGTAGAACACCAAGTGGGCTTTTGGGTTCCTAATTCCAGGACTTAAATCTTGGACAGCATTTCTGGACCTGCCCTGAGCCATGGGGGAGCCCACTGTTATGAAGGGTGAGTCCCAGGCCAGGCAGCATTCACAAGCTGACTTAAGAGACCTTAGGCATTAAGAGAACATTAGTGGTAGCTTGGCAGTACTCTTTCTGACCAGGAGTGGTGGTGCCTATGGGGCGAGGCTTGTCTCCCTTCTGAAATGGGAGAGAAGAGCAGGAAGAACTGTATTTTGTGGTGTGAGTTGCCAGCTCAGCCCACAATACAATAGAACACCAGGAAGAATTCTAAGGTTTTTTACTCTAGTTTCTGACTCCTAGATGGCACTTCTGGACCCACCTTAGGATAAGGGATTTCACCTCCCTGAAGGGGAAGTGATATGGTTTTGCTGTGTCGCCATCCAAATCTCATCTTGACTTGTAGTTCACGTAATCCGCACGTGTCATGGGAGGGACCAGGTGGGAAGTAATTAGATCATGGGGGCAGTTCCCGCATGCTGTTCTCATGATAATGAGTGAATATCACAATATCTGATGATTTTATAAGCATCTGGCATTTCCCCTGCTTGCATTGACTCCATTCTGCTGCCCTGTGAAGAAGGTGTCTGTCTCTCCTTTGTCTTCCACCATGATTATAAGTTTCCTGAGGCCTTCTCAGCAACACGGAACAATGAGTCAATTAAACCTTTTTCCTTTATAAATTACCCATTCTCAGGTATTTCATCATGGCAGTGTAAAAACAGACTAATACAAGAGGACACATGCCTAGCTGGTTTTACCACATGCCTATTGTAGATTCCCTGGGCCTTGAGTGGACATAAATAGTAGCCAAAGAGTAGTTATAGCAGGCCTTCAGCACGGTGCTGGCTTCAGCTCTGACCCAGAGCAGTAATAGTGATGGTGGCCACAGAGGTGCTTGTGTCTGTCACTCCACCCCCAGTGTTAGGTGGCTTAGAAAAAGAGAGACAGAAACTTGGTCTTGGAGAAATTAAGGGAAGAGAACAAGAGTCTCTGCTTGGTAACCCAGAGAATTATCCTCAATCTTGTCCAAGACCATCAAGGCAGTACCCCTACAAGTATGCAAAAACCACAGTGTTACTGGACTTGAGGTGCCCTCTAAAGCAAAATCAGCTTAGATTAAAACACTCAACTCCTTTTAAATATCTGGAAAGCCTTCCCAAGAAAGATAGGTACAAACACACCCAGATAGTGAAGACTACAATAAATACCTCACTCTTAAATGACCAGATACAGACAAACATCTACAAGTATCAGGATCATACAGGAAAACGTGATCTCACTAAATGAACTAAATAAGTCACCAGGGACTAATCCTGGAGAAACAAATAGATGCGACCTTTCAGACAGAGAATTCAAAATAGCTGTGTTGAGGAAACAAAGAAATTGAAGATAACACAGATAAATAATTCAGAATTCTATCAGATAAATTTAACAAAGAGATTGAAATAATTAAAAAGAGTCAAGCAGAAATTGTGGAGCTAAATAATGCAATTGACATACTGAAGAATACATCAGAGTCCTTTAACAGCAGAATGGATCAAGGAGAATAAATAATTAGTCAGCTTAAACACAAGATATTTAAAAATATATTCAGAGAATAAAAAAGAAAAAGAAAGAATAAAAACATGCCTACAACCTCTAGAAAATAACCTCAAAATTGCAAATCTAAGCTTTACTGGTCTTTATGAGAAGGTGGAGAAAAAGATAGGGGTAGAAAGAAAAAAAAGAATTAAAAAAGCATGCCTACAAGCTCTAGAAAATAACCTCAAAAGGGCAAATCTAAGCTTTATTGGCCTTAATGAGAAGGTAGAGAAAGAGACGGGGTAGAAAGTTTATTCAAAAGTATAATGACAGAAAACATCCTAAACCTAGAGAAACATATCAACATCCAGGTACAGGGAGGTTATAGAACACCAAGAAGATTTAACCCAAAGAAGACTGCAACAAGGCATTTAATAATCAGAATTTCAAAGGTCAGAGATAAAGAAGGATCCCAAAAGCAGCAAGAGAAAAAAAATAACATACAATTGAGCTCCAATACATCTGGCAGCAGACTTTTCAGTGGAAACCTTACAGGCCAAGAGAGGGTGGCATGACATATTTAAAGTGCTGCAGGTAAAAACCTTTTGCCCTGTAGTAGAATATCTGGCAGAAATATCATTTTATCCTGATGGAGAAATAAAGCCTTTCCTATACACACAAAAGCTGAGGGATTTCATCAAAAGCAGACATGTCCTACAATAAATGCTTAAGAGAGTACTTCAGTCAGAGAGAAAAGGACATTAATGAGCAATAAATAATCACCTGAAGGTAAAAAAAAGAAAGAAAACATCTTACTGGTAATAGTAAGTACACAGAAAAACAAAGAATATTATAGCACTGTAAATGCGGTGTGTAAACTACTCTTACTCTAAGTAGAAACACTAAATGATGAACTAATCAAAAATAATAACTACAACTTTTCAACACACAGTGCAACAAAATATAAATAGAAAAAGCAAAAAATTAAAAAGTGGGGTGACAAAGTTTTTATAACTTTTATAAGGCAAGTTTTTCTAACTTTCTTTTTGCTTCCTTGTTTGTTTATACAAATAGTGTTAAGTTGTTATCAAATTACAATGAATTAAAAGATAGTATTTGCAAACTTCATGGTAACCTCAAATAAAATAACATACAATGGATACACAAAAAATTAAAAGCAAGACTACATGAAATCACAAGAGAAAAATCATCATAACTAGAGGAAGACAGATAAATTTAAGAAAGAAGTGAAGATCACAAGAAAAGCAGAAAACAAATAATAATTCAGCAGGAGTAAGTCCTTACTTATTAATAACATTGAATGCAAATGGACTAAACTCTCCACTCAAAAGACATAGATTGGCTGAATAAATGAAAAAATAAAATCCATTGATCTGTTGCCCAAAAGAAACACACTTCACCTATAAAGATGCACATAGACTGAAAATAAAGGGATGAAAAAAATTCCATGATATGACTCTCTGATTGTCTATTGTTGGTGGATAGGAAAGCTTGTAATTTTTGCACATTGATTTTGTATCCTGAGACTTTACCAAAGTTGCTTATCAACTTAAGGAGTATTTGGGCTGAGACAATGAGATTTTCTAAATATAGGATCATATCATCTGCAAACAGAGACAATTTGACTTCCTCTCTCCCTATTTGAATACACCTTATTTATTTCTCTTGCCTGATTGCCCTGGTTAGAACTATCAATACTATGTTGAATAGAAGTGGTGAGAGAGGGCATCCTTTTCTTGTGCCAGTTTTCAAAGGGGATGCCTCCTGCTTTTGCTCTTTCAGTATGATATTGGCTGTGGGTTTGTCATAAATAGCTCTTATTATTTTGAGATACATTCCATCAATACCTAGTTATTGAGAGTTTTTAAAATGAAGGGATGTTGAATTTTATCAAAGTCCTTTCTGTATCTATTGACATAATCATGTGGTTTTTGTCATTGGTTCTGTTTATGTGATAGATAATGTTTATTAATTTGCATATATTAAAACAGCCTTGCATTTCAGGGATGAAGCCAACTTGATCACGGTGGATAAGCTTTTTTTTAGATGTGCCACAGAACTCCCATTGACAATTCTTACAAAGAGAATAAAATAGCTAGGAATACAGCTAACAAAGGACATGAAAGACCTCTTTGAAGAAAACTACAAACCACAGCTCAAGGAAATAAGACAGAACACAAACAAATAGAAACACGTTCCATTCTCATGAATAGAAAAAAGTCAATGACAATGGCCATACTGCCCAAAGTAATTTATAGATTCAATGCTGTTTTCATCCAACTAACATTGACATTCCTCACAGAATTAGAAAAAAACTACATTAAAATTCATATAAAACCAAGAGAGCTCACATATCCAAGACAATCCCAAGCAAAAAGAACAAAGCTGGGGACATTGTGCTACCCGATTTCAAACTATACTACAAGGCTACAGTAACCAAAACAGCATGGTACTGGTACCAAAACAGACATATAGACCAATGGAACAGAATAGTGACCTCAGATATAAGACCACACATCTACAACCATCTGATCTTCAACAAACCTGACAAAAACAAGCAATGGGAAAAGGATTCCCCATTTAATAAATGGTAGTGGGAAAACTGGGAGCCATATTCAGAAAACTGAAATGGGACCACTTCTTTACACTTTATACAAAAATTAACTAAAGATGGATTAAAGACTTAAATGTACAACTCCAAACCATAAAAACCCTGGAAGAAAACCTATGCAATACCATTCAGGGCATAGGCATGGGCAAAGATTTTATAAAGAAATGGCCTAAAGAATTGCTAAATAAAGAAATGGCCGAAAGCAACAAATGCTAAAATTGACAAGTGGGAACTAATGAAATTAAAGAACTTCTGCAAAGCAAAAGAAACTATCATCAGAGTGAACGGGCAACCTATAGAATGGGAGAAAACTTTTGCAATCTACCCATCTGACAAAGGTCTAATATCCAGAATTTACAAGGAACTTAAACAAGTTTACAGGAATAAACAGGCTGAGCGCAGTGGCTCACACCTGTAATCCCAGCACTTTGGGAGGCTGAAGCAGGCAGATCACGAGGTCAGGATTTTGAGACTAGTTTGGCCAACATGGTTAAACTCCATCTCTACTAAAGATACAAAAAATTAGCCAGGTGTGGTGGCACGCACCTGTAATCCCAGCTACTTGGGAGACTGAAGCAGGAGAATCGCTTGAACCCAGGAGGAGAAGGTTGGAGTGAGCCGAGATCACACCATTGCACTCCAGCCTGGGCAATAGGGTGAGACTCCATCTCAAAAAAAAAAAAAGAATAGAAAAGGAAAAGGGAAAACAACCCCATCAAAAAGTGGGCAAAGGATATGAACAGACAGAAGACATTTATTTATACAGCCAACAAACATAGGAAAGAAAGCTCAACACCACTGATCATTAGATAAATGCAAATGAACATCAAAATGAGATACCATCTCATGCCAGTCAGAATGGCGATTATTAAAAATTCAAGAAACAATAAATGGTGGCAAAGTTGTGGAGAAATAGAAACACTTCTATATTGTCAGTGGGAATGTAAATTAGTTCAATCATTTTGGAAAACAGTATGGCAATTCCTCAAGGATCTAGAACCAGAAATACTATTTGACCTAGCAATCCCATTACTGGGTATATACCCAAAGGAATATAAATCATTCTGTTATAAAGATACATCCATATGTATGTTTATTGCAGCACTATTCACAAGAGCAAAGACATTGAACCAACCCAAATGCCCATCATTGATAGAGTGGATAAAGAAAATGTGGTAAATATATACACCATGGAATAATATGCTGCTACAAAAATGAATGAGATCATGTCCTTTGCAGGGACATGGATGAAGCTGGAAGCCACTATTCTCAGAAAACTAACACAGGAACAGAAAACCAAACATCACATGTTCTCATTATTAGGAAGGAGTTGAACAATGAGAACACACGTACACAGGGAGGGGAACAACACACACCTGGGCCTGTCAACGGAGGGCAAAGGAGGGAGAGCATCAGGACAAATACCTAATGCATGGGGGGCTTAAACCCTAGGTGACGGGTTGACAGGTGCAGCAAACCACTGTGGCACACGAATACTTATGTAACAAACCTACACGTTCTGCTCATGTATCCCATAACTTAAATTATGAAGTAGTAAAAAAAAATAAAATTTTAAAAAGGAAATTTCATGCCAGTGGAAACCAAAACAGAGCAAGAGTTGCTAATCTTACAGCAGACAAAAGAGATTTGAAGAAAAAACTATAAAAAGAGACAAAGAAGGTCACTATATAATGATAAAGGGTTAAATTCAGCAAAAGGATACAACTAGTTTAAATATATTTGCAGCAGACATGGGAGCAGCTGGATGTAAAAAGGAAATTTTATTAGAGTAAAGAGAGCTATAGGCCCCAATACAATAATAGCTGGACACTTCAACACCCCACTTTCAGCACTGGACAGATCTTCCAGGCAGAAAATAAACAAAGAAACAACAGACTTAATCTGCACTGTAGGCCAAATGGACCTAATAGATATTAACAGAACATTTCATCCAATGGGTGCACAATACACATTTTTTTTTCCCTCACCATATGCATCATTCTCAAAGGACAGACCACATGTTAGGTCACAAAACAAGCCTTAAAACATTCAGCAAAGCTAAAATAATAACATCCATCTTCTCAGATGGAATCAAACTACAAATTAAATAGAAGAGAAATTTTATAAATCATAGAAATACATGGAAATTAAACAATATCCTCCTGAATAACCAGTGGGCCAATGAGATATTAAGAAGAAAACTGAAAATATTTTTGAAACAAACGATTATAATAACATAACATGCCAAAACCTATGGGATACAGCAAAAGAAGTACTACGAGGAAAGTTTATAGCTTTAAGCTTTATAGCTATAAGGAACTTTGTAGCTATAAGTGCCTACATCAAAGAAAGGAAAAAACTTCAAATAAACAATCCAATGATGTACCTTGAAGAACTGGAGAAGCAAGAGCAAACCTAACTAAAACCAGCACAGGAAAATAAATAATAAAAATTAGAGCAGAAATAAATAAAACTGAAGTAAAAAAAATTAAAAATTCAATGAAAAAATGTTTTTTTTGAAAAGTTAAACAAAATTGACAAACCTTAAATCTGACTATGAAAACGAAAAGATCCAAATGAATAAAATCAGAAATGAAAAAGCAGACATTACAATTGATAATGCAGAAATTTAAAGGGTCATTGGTTGCTACTATGAGCAACTATATGCCATTAAATTGGAAAATCTAGAAGAAATGGATGAATTCCTAGAAACATACAACCTACCAAGATTAAACCAGGAAGAAATCCAAAACCTGAACAAACCAATAACAAGTAACGAGATTGAAGCTGTAATAAAAAGTAAAAGCCCAAGACCTAATGGCGTCACTACTAAATTCTAGCAAACATTTAAAGAAGAACTAATACCAATTCTACTCAAAATATTTTGAAAAACAGAGGAGGAGATAATACTTCCAAACTCATTCTACAAGTAGTACAGGGTACCTTAATACCAAAGCCACCCAAAAACGAACGAAAGAAGGAGGAAGGAAGGGAGGAAAGGAAAGAAGAGGAGAGGAGGGGAGGGGAGGAGAGGAAAAACTAGAGTCCAATATCTCTAGTAAATATTGGTGCAAAAATTCTCAACAAAATGCTAGCAAACAAATTAAACAATACAATAGAAAGACAATTGATCATGATCATGGGATTTGTCGATGGTATGGAAGGATGGTTCAACATATACAACTCACTCAGTGTGATACATCATATCAACAGAATGAAGGATAAAAACCTTATCATTTCAACTGAAGCTGAAAAACATTTGATAAAATTCAACATCCCTTCATGATAAACACCCTCAAAAAACTGGTATTAGAAGGAACATACTCTAGAATAATAAAACCATAAATAACAAATCCACAGTTAGCATCATACTGAATGGAGAAAAACTGAAAGCCCTTCCTCTAATATCTGGAACATAATAAGAATGCCCATTGTCACCACTGTTATTCAGCATATTACTGAAAGATCTAGCTAAAGCAGTAGGACAAGAGAAAGATATAAAGGGCACCCAAATTGGAAAGGAAGAAGTCCAAGTATCCTTGTTTGCAGATGATATAATCTTAAATTTGGAAAAACCTAAAGACTCCACAGGAAAACTATTGGAACTTATAAACAAATTCACTCATTTCAAGATGCAAAATCAACATACAAAAATCAGTCTCATTTCTATATGCCAACAGTGAACAATGAAAAATAAATTTAAAAGTAATCCAATTTACACTAGCCACACATAAAATTAAATATCTAAGAATTAACCAACAAAGTGAAAGTTGTCTATAATGAAAACTGTAAAGCACTGATGAAAAAAATTGAGGAGGATACAAAATCATTGAAAAATATTCTATGTTCATGGATTGGAAGAATCAAAACTGTTAAAATGTCCATACTACCAAAGCAATCTACAGATTCGATGAAATCCTTATCAAAATACAAATGACATTCTTCACAGAAATAGAAAAAAAGATCTTAAAACTTATATGGAACCACAAAAGACCCAGAATAGCCAAAGCTATTCCAAGCTAAAAGAACATAATTGGAGGAATTACCTGGCTTCAGATTATACTACAGAACTTTTGTAACCAAAACAGCATGGCACTGGCATAAACACAGACAGATAGAACAATGAAACAGAATGGAGAACCCATAAAACAGTCCCCACACCTACAGTAACTTATTTTAGACAAAGGTGCCAGAACATAACAGTAAGGAAAGGAAAGTCCCTTCAATAAATTGTGCTAGGACAACTGGGTGTCTATATGCAAATGAATGAAACTGTACCCCTATTTCTCACCATATACAAAAATAAAATAAAAATGAATTAAAGAATTACATCAACACCTCAAACCATGAAACTACTATAAGAAAACATTGAGGAAAATACTTAGGACATTGGTCTGGGCAAGAATTTGAGTGATACCCTGTAAGCACAGACAACCAAAGAAAAAATGAGCAAATGGTATCATGTCAAGTTAAAAAGCTTCTGCACACCAAAGCATACAATCAACAAAGTGAAGAAACAGCCACAGAATGGGAGAAAATATTTGCAAACTACCTATCTGACAAGGGATTAATAACCACACTATATTAAGATCTCAAACATTCTATAGGAAAACATCTAATAATTTGATCAAAAGATGGGCAAAATATTTGAAGAGAACTTTCTCAAAATAGGAGATACAAATAACAAACAGGGATATGAAAAGGAGCTCAAAATCATTATCAGAGAAATGCAAATCAAAACTATAATGAGATACCATCTCAACCCTGCTAAAATGGCTTATATCCAAAAGACAAGCAACAGCAAATGCTAGTGAGGATGTGGAGAAAAGGGAACACTTGTGTATGTTTAATGGGAATGTAAATTAATACAACCACTATGGAGAACAGTTTGCAGATTCCTCAAAAAAAAAAAAAAAAAAAAAACTAAAAATAGAGCTACCATAGGATCAGGCAATCCCACTGCTGGGTAGAAAGGAAAGGAAATCAGTATATCAAAGAAATATCTGCACTCCTATGTTTGTTGCAGCACTGTTTACAATAAGCTAAGATCTGGAAGCAACATAAGTGTCCATGGACAGACGAATGGATATAGAAAATACAGTACATATACACAATGGAGTACTATTCATCCATAAAAAGAAATAAGATCCAATCATTTGCAACATGGATGGAACTGGAGATCATTATTTTAAGTGAAATAAACCAGGCACAGAAAGACAAACATCACATGTTCTCTCTTATTTGTGGGATCTAAAAATCAAACCAATTGTACTTACGTACATGGAGAGTAGAAGGATGGTTACCAGAGACTGGAAAGTGTGGTAGGGGGCTGGGCTGATTAATGGGTATAAAATAACTAGTTAGAAAGAATGAATAAGACCTAATATTGGTGGCATTGCAGCTCAATGGATAGGTGCTTGGGCCGATGGATGCCCCATTCTTTGTGATATTCTCGTTTCACATCACATGCCTATATCAGAACATCTCATGTACCCATTACATGTACACACCTACTATGTACACTACAAAAAATTTTTTAAAAACATAAAAAACTATAAAAAGGAAAACATTTTCCTATACATTATTTTATTAGATTATGAGAAAATTGGTAAAGTGGAGACAGTACTCAACTTACATCACAAATGTTATGTTTGAATTTTCACCCATCCTCTTACTATCTACAACTCCTTGAACATACCTTTACACATCTCTATTTCAAGAGTGTATTTTGAGCCTATTCATTTTAGTTATGTGTTGCGGGAAATAGTGCAACTTAAATTAACTATCACTTGAGTTATATTTAAAATAGTTTTGATATTTTGAATTCTGACTCTCAGTCTTATTCTTAGGACTGTGTTATATGCTTCCAAATGTTATGTTTAATCGTCAGAAATACTCTGAAAACTGTTATCAACTATAGAATATTTTTAAAGGTTATACAAAGTATCTTGGGGGTGGGGTGACTACCACAGTCAAATAGGCATGCAATACATTTTGTTGAATGTAATATAGATACGCCTAAAGTTGAAGCATTTAGTTTGTTTCCTGTTTTTCATTTAACAGTATTATAACTAAGGAATAGGTAAGCTATTTAACGTGCCAGATTTTTCACAGCTACTTATCTGATTTCCAATGTAAAGTCCTTCTTTGGCAAGGCATGGTGGCTCATGCCTGTAATCCCAGCACTTTGGGAGGCCAAGATGGGAGGATCTCTTGAGGCCAGGAGTTCAAGACCAGCCTGGTCAACATAGTGAGATTCCATCTCTTAAAAAAAAAATGAAATTATAAAAAAAAGAAATAAAGTCCTTCTTATTCAACTACAAAATTACATTTATTAATTATAATGCCCATATGGCAAAGGTCAAAATGTGTAGCACTTTATTTTACTTTCATAGGCTTTCATGATAACCCTATCCTTTTTAGAAATACCTGTTCCTAAAATGTCTTCTTTTCTTTTGCCTTCTTTCTTTTATTTTTCTCTTCAATATAACTCTAACTTAAAGTTAAAGAGCAGGAAGCCTGAAAAAATCTTTCCAGTATTCTCTGTATCACTGCAACATAAAATTAAATGGAAGTAGGTTAGAGAAAATATTCCACAAGACCTGCATGAGTTCCTTATGTAGTCTGCCACTTTTCAACTCTCCCTCTTCTGGGATACAGGGAAATTTATTTTGAGAGTAGGATTTTCCTGATGTCTTCGTCTTCATTCTTTGCCCCTTTTTAAGCTTGAAATACTCTGAGACCTTTTATTAACTGAACTAAAATCATTCCCCTTAGAGGCCTGTTTTGTAGCTTTGTAAAAGTTTGCACTTTCCCCTTAAGTGTCACAAATGTTATCAGTGGAAGCTGTGAAAAGCATATAGTGCTGTTATGTCCTGTAAAAATTATGTTCCCCAAACAATTTCCTTGCTGCAAATAAATCTCAGTGAGCGCTCTGGTTGCTGAACATTGAAATTAGAAAGCAGTTTCCCAAATCGTAACATCCATTGCTCCTTTTCCCTTTGCCAGAGAAACTTGCTACAAAAAGACCAACAAGAAGAGAAAGAACTGGGAGAAACATCTATTGTGTATTTCTCAGTTTGCAGTTTCTGGTGACCCCAATCCAACCAAGTCACACAAATAGCCATACTTACCATAAAGCCATGATATAACTATTTTTACATGGAATTTACCACTGACTGGGTGTTACATTGTTGTCTAATATCACATGTTACTCATTTTATTCCCCAGTGCCTAATTACACTATGGTAGGTTAAAGGTGGAACTGATTGGTTATTTAAATATGAGAAAGATGACACAAGCTAATCTTAGTATTGTTTTTAAGCCAATTCTAAATATGCTTCTTTTTTTAGTGGTTTTGTTGTTCAACACCTTTGACCAAAAAAAGTTCAAATTATAAAATTGTATCACCACCACCATTTTTAGTGTCAGAGAAACACTAAATCACCACCATTTTTAGTGTCAGAGAGAATTAGCTATTAGAAACTGAAACAAAAAGAGCTACGCTTGCATGTCTCTTTCTATGGGATTATGTAGTCTATTATTTCTACTTCTCTGCTGATGTCTGTTCCAGGTTATCTCTCTGTAGATCAGTGATATTTCTTTCCACATGGGAGAAGATGTGTAGCAAAAGTTTGCATATATCTCAACTCACACTCTAAAGACAGACTCATTAAGATCTCTAAATCTCAATTCCTAATTTCTGAGAAACTGCTTTCTCATAGTTGAGTGTTTCAATCAGCCTATCACTAGGAGATCAAGGCATTGGGGCCCAAAAATAGTGTCCAGGGTCTATTCCAAATGTGTATAATATTAATCTAACACATGTCACCATGAAGATTCTCCCAAACTCATGAAAATGTTATGAATTTAAAGTAAAATTGATGAAAAACGTCCATTGACACATTTCTAAGAGCTGCCCTCTTCAAGTGCTTTTCATATTTCTTCAAGAGCTGCTCCTGAAATAGAAATGTCGATTCACCAACTCCTCGAGTTTCTTGACACATGAATAGCATAAGTTCAGGTCGGGACCCTTCCTAGGAAGCTAGATTCATCTGTTTCCCAGACCATCTCAGCTACAAGCTCAGAGAAGTCTCTACATCAGCCTTGTTATTTTGCCCCATTAAACACTTTAAGGCCTGTTGGTCTTCGGCTTTTAATCTCAAGTAATTATCACCTAGGAGTGCTGGGTACCTCAGGACCCACAGAGGGCAATTCCCTGCAGCTAAGGAAAATGAGAAGGGAGCCAAATGATTAATAGAAATATTTAAGGCAGTGCCTTTATTTTCACCTCTATGTAACAGTAGTAAAATACAAACAGGCTTTAATTCTTCTTGGAAATATTCAACATTCGAGCGACTCAAATTGAACAGCCAATCCAGTCAATAATGAATGAATATGTTAATATCACAGCCATGAAATGAGCAGAGTTTGAAATTTACATTAATATTTGCACTAATTATTCTTAAAATGTTCTTTAAAGTGGTGAGTGGTCAATGTAATTACTGATGTCAAGAGATATCATTATTAAAGAGACATGGCCAACAATTGTATTAGGTATAGAAAGAAGCAGAGAAGTAATATCTCATTTTACTGACATGTCTGCCTAGTCTAGAGTCTGCTGCAGTAACAATCAACCTCTACATCTCAAAGCCTTAACACTGTAAACTTTGATTTTTTGATCATCTGACAGTCATTAATGAGAGCTATTGTTAATGGCTCCTCTCCAAAGGGTGATCAATTGGCCCAGATAGCTTGTACTTTATTGTGAAATCATCTAAAATAAATGGCTTTTGAGGTCTCTCTAGAAGGCTAAGAGTATTGAATGGCTAAATTGTAAAGCCAAGAGTGGAAATAGCTTACAATTAATTTATCATCGACCAGAACCCAGTCATACAGCCTTCAACCTAAGTGCAGGAATTGCATTCTTCTTGCATGTTCAGGAAAGAGGTAGTTGTAGTGAATGGTGTTAACTCTGTCTCACCAATTGATTATATTGGATAATTGATTAAAAACAAATATTACTTTTTAGGAAACTAAGCAATGTACTAATTTTTAACATTTAAAAATGAGCTCTTAGGTAGTAAAATACAGAATCTAATATCTTCACTTTTAAAAAAGAAAATGAGAAAGACAGCTAAAATGTCAGTAAGTTTCATAAAATCAAGGCTCTTATCTCTGTCTTACTTAACATGGGATCCCTAGTACTTATAGTACTGCCTTGTATGTTATGCCTAACAAGTATTTCTTAAATAAATAATGTAGATACCAAGTTTATCCTATTTGGTATTATACGTTAGTTCTTAAAGTATGTTTGACTTTCAATATTTTTTGGTGGGGGTGCATAAAATTCTATAATGTCTTCTAATTTGGAGGTTTGTAAACTATATTTCATTGCAAAAGAAATAGGTGTATGGTTTGGGTGATCATTTTTGCTCCATGAGTACCTACTGTACCAAGAAAGAAATAATTGACATACACATGTACACACATGCAAATACACAATCCCAGCTGATTCAGTTCCTTATATATGCTACTCACTGTTCTGGGTGCAGTGAACAACACAGAATATGTTCCCTCATGGAATTTATAATCTAAAGTGAAATACAGACGAATAAGAAGATATGTTAGGAAATATATTCTGTTGTATAGCTACTCTCTAAAATTGGGATGAACCCTCAACCTAAAATTTTGTTGGGATATTGAGACTAATGATGCTACAGGTGCACAAAGAGGATATGAAAAGATCTATTACCTAGTTGAGGTTCCTGGCGAGAGCAGGGCAAGACTCTCCTAGCAAGTCTGAAAGGGCTTGAGTGGGCAAAGGGTTAGGGGTTCAAGTCAGGTGAAAATTTCTGCATGTGGGTGGGGCTTTCATAGATTAAATCTCCTGCTGGTGCCAAAGGAGGGTGCAGCCAGACTTTATCAGCTTGCCCACATGTTGGGCACAAGGAAAAGAGGGAGGAGTGAGACTTAAAACCTGTCAGCAGTCAGACATCAAAAAATGGGGTCAGATTCCTCATTACATTTATGTTATAGTGTGTTAAGTGTTGAGGAGAAAAAATGTAGTAAGGCAGGAGAATCAATAGTCTTGAAAAAGTTGCAATTTAGATAGGGTGACCAGGAAAGTCTTCACTAGTGCCTGGAAAGTGCCGATTCGTAGTTTTCTGGGGACATCATAGTCCTTCATGGTCAATATGGAGCACTCAGAAATTACTGAAGTGGTATTTCAGGGACCAATTTAAATGCTGTTGTGGACCAAAAAGAATTTGGGAGTGACTGTTCTTGCTTAGTTGCTTAAACCCCAATTTGGAACCGAATAGCTTTTTTGAGGATCCGAGTTTCTCAAGAAATTCAATTTTTGAGAAACCTCTAGAATTTTCAAAAATAACTAATCATGATAGCTTTCTCTATGTTGGCTCACAGCTGGCTTTGGCTGGTAACTGAAGTTACCCAAAGCCCCCAAATATTCACTTGTCCCAAGGTTAATAATTACCATTCTATTTCTGCTTATCTTCTCAGAGAATTATTTCTTTAAGTTCATTATTGCTTCTGTGAGTATCCAAATACCAGGACATAGAGCAGAGCTCAGAAATCAATCGGTAGGATCAGCTACACGTGCGCAAATAAAGGACCAAGAAATCTCCTAGGTATTGCATGGTTGTACTAATTAGTAATAATATAATTAGCAAAATAATAAAAAGAATAAACACATAGTGTATACCATATGTTGAACCATTAGTGTTCTATTGTTGTTGTAATAAATTGCCCTCAACTTAAAGGCTTAAAACCATGTAAATGTATTATATTACAGTTCTAGAGGTCAGACTTCCAAAATGGGTCTCAGTGGGCTACAATCGTGTTGTTGGTAAGACTGTGCTTCCTTTTGGAGGCTCTAGGAGAGAATCCATTTCTTCACTCAAACTGGTTATTGGCAGAATTTAGTTTCTTGTGGTTGTAGGAATGAAGTGTTCATTTCCTTGCCCACTGTCAGGTACAGTACAGTGTTAGTTTCTAGAGACTGCTTTTATTCCTTGGTTCGTGACTTCTTCCTGCACCTTTAAGCCAGCAATGGTGCATTGAATACCTCTCACACTTTGGATCTCTCCTGTCTTTTCTTCCACTGTCACATCTCTCTGACCACCACTGGAAAAGGGTCTCTGTTTTTCAGGATTTTGTGACTAGATTAGGCCCACCTGGATAATCCATGATGATCTCCACATCTCAAGATAACCTTAATCACATATTAGAAGTCCCCTTTGCAATGTGAAGAAATGTATCCCCAGGCTACTTTATCAGATACTTTATAATTTACTATTATTATTGTTCAGAACACTGATGTCCAAAGTTTGAAAAAAGAAATGCTAACAGTATTTCTAGTAGCTAAAATAGGAAGAGAATTGTGATGAGATCTGTGGAAATACCACACCAAATTTCTAGATAAAAAAAGAATATAATTATGATTTACAGAAAGCTCCATATTTAGATAATTTAAAATAATACCTTGTAAGTGAGCTTTTTGCATATGCAGAAATTGGGCTTAAAGAAAGAAATGAGTGAATGCTTCCAGACATAGTGTCTTAACTTTAAAACTGCTATATTTTGGATGGGTGGCTATAAGGATAGTAATCTTCACTTATATTACTTTTATGCTTCAATACACCTTCACAGATATTGTCATATTTTCTTAAAAAAAAGGATGTGAGGCAAAGTCAAGTATCTTCTTAAAAACAGGTAGAAAATTCTAAATAATTATTTAAAGGTGCAAATCTTAATAACATAGTGAGCTAAGTAGTAATAAGAGCTTAAATTATGCTTACTCTACAGCAGGCACTGCTTTAAGGATTTTAAATATATGAACTTATTTTAATTTGGAAGTGGATGAATTATAATACTATTTACCTACTTCACATATGAGGAACCTGAAGCGAAGATAAATTAAATAACTCTGCTAAGATTATGTAGCTAGAAGGAGGCACAGATAGATTTTGAACCTGGGCAATTGGGTTTCTTAATTGGAATGCTGTATGCCAATTTCTAGTCGAGTTTTCATTCCAGAGAGCAACCATTCCTGGTGTCCTTTATATCTGTCTTTCCTTTGTAGACACATAAAGAGAGAAAATGTGTACATCACTCATTCAGTGGCCGTCTATAGCTCACCAGGTTGCTGTTGTATGGGGAGTGTAAAGATAAGCGAGAATCAGTCTTATCGCACTGGTTACATCTCTTCACTTTCCTTTAGCAGTTAACATCTTTATTTCAGGTTTCTTTCTCAAGCTGGAGGTGTGGAATACCTGTATGAACGACATATATCTGACTTTGTAACAACTGTGGATTGACTGATAACAAATCTTTAAGGACCATATGGTGGTAAAATCCCTCGAAGTATACACAAACTGTAAAAACAGATTTAGGAGTGTATTCCTCCATCAATGTGCCAGCCTTGAAATGAGTAACTGCCATTAGCATTAAAAAGAATTTCCAGGTTAAATCTCCCAGGAGAAAAGATCCAAACCCTGTCATCTATCTCACAGACATACTAAATTATTTCTTATGGAGCATGCGGAATCGCCCAAATCAAACACCCAAATGGAAGCAGTAGAGTTTTAGTGGTGACGACGGTTCTTAAGGAAGGGCGGAAGCTATTCACAACCATTAAACAAATTAATGGTCCAATATAACCAGAATCTATTCCTTCTCTATAAACTAGAATAGTGTCAATTATTTTTTCAGTTGCATGCAAGGTAGTTGGAGGACATCTGAGTGCAAAGTCTGGATCATAACAGAGACATTTTAAGACATCAGATGACACAAGTGGGAAGCACCTTATTTTGTAGAATATGCAGTTTTATTGTTCGTATCTTTCTCAAACAAAGAATCCTAAACCTTGCATTTGTCCTTGTCTCTGCTATTTATGCTGTAGTCTACTTGACATGAATAAGGTCCTGTAAGAGCCGGGCAGACGGCTCACACATTCAGAGTACAGATACAGAGCTGCCATGAAAATACAGAAAGGGGTGGCTTTCAAAATTCTTTTCATGAATTTGACATCCTCAGTGAAAGGGCATTTGCTGAAAACATGGAAGTCATTAATACAAAAACCTAATCCATAACATTGACAATGCAATTCAGGCATGTTTGATACAAATTAGATTAAAAATTCATTATTTATCTCTAAGGTCCCTATTCCCTAAGACCATGTCTTCTCCTGTCTAATTACATCATTTTTACCTCTTTACTATTTACTTTGATTTGATAATTACATCTTTGTCACACTAGCATGAGTTGGGTCTGCCCCACGACTACTTACTCAGCCTATCTCTCTCTACCTGACAGAGGTCCTGCATCAGAGCATAAGAATGATATTCAATGATATAATGTATTCAATGATTAGAAATCAGTCCTCCTCTATCCCCACCCCCCCTCAATTTGGGTTTCCAACATTAATCCAATTCCCTAAATATTTTTGTGAAATTAAAGTTACTACAACTCTTTCACTGACTTTATTAATTGGAAATATTAGACTCAATGAAGATTAGATTTACAGTGGCTTACACAGTAGGCAGCTTCTGTTGGAGTGATGGTATCTGGGAAAGAATCTCTTCAGTCCTCTTCACCATGCCATTATGGTCACAAGATCACTGCCTTCATTCGAAGCATCATTGTCCCATCTAAGGGAGGTAGAAGGGAGAGATGGTAGGGTTTTAACGAAATCTATTACTTCTATTCAAGAAAACAAAGAGCTATCTAGATAAATCTTACAGAGGACTTAATCATTTTCTCGTAGACCCACATTGAATTTCCCATCTATGCAGAACTACAAGGTAGGATAGGAAATGTAGGGTTTTAGATTTTAATCCTCTGTAGTCAAAAGTAGCAGGGAAATTGTTTGGAAATACCTTTTGGGTAGTCAATCTCAGTTTTTGCTTAATAGTTTGCTTGCAATATAACTTAATTTTTTTTACATTAAACTTATTTCTTTTAGTAATTAAGAACTCAATCAAGTGTCCAGAGACTTTAATACAATAACTCAGATTTTTACGACTCATAATTTTCTCACAGCCTCTTCTTCCAACTTTCTAAATTATTAGTCTTATTTTTGTTAGTTTGAGCTTAAAGATATACTGCCTACTTTGTAATCGAGCCCTCAACTCTCATACTCTCTTGAAGTACATCTACACATAGAGAATAGAGTAGATAAAAGATGAATTTCAGACCTATTTTTCCTTTGAAATAGCTTTATAAACCTGCCTCAAACTTTATTCTTTTTTTTTAATTATTATACTTTAAGTTCTAGGGTACATATGCACAATGTGCAGGTTTGTTACATATGTATACATGTGCCATGTTGGTGTGCTGCACCCGTTAACTTGTCTTTTAGCATTAGGTATATCTCCTAATGCTATCACTCCCCACTCCCCCCACCCCACGACAGGCCCCCAGTGTGTGATGTTCCCCACCCTGTGTCCAAGTGTTCTCGTTGTTCATTTCCCACCTATGAGTGAGAACATGCAGTGTTTGGTTTTCTGTCTTTGTGACAGTTTGCTCAGAATTATGGTTTCTAGCTTCATCCATGTCCCTACAAAGGACATGAACTCATCCTTTTATATGGTGCATAGTATTCCATGGTGTATATGTGCCACATTTTCTTAATCCAGTCTATCATTGATGAATATTTGGGTTGGTTCCAAGTCTTTGCTATTGTGAATAGTGCCGCAATAAACATACGTGTGCATGTGTCTTTATAGCAGCATGATTTACAATCCTTTGGGTATATGTCCAGTAATAGGATGGCTGGGTCAAATGGTATTTCTAGTTCTAAATCCTTGAGGAATTGCCACACTGTCTTTCACAATGGTTGAACTAGTTTACAGTCCCACCAATAGTGTAAAAGTGTTCCTATTTCTCCACATCCTCTCCAGCACCTGTTGTTTCCTGACTTTTTAATGATCGCATAAATGTCTTCTTTTAAGAAGTGTCTGTTCATATCCTTCGCCCACTTTTTGATGGAGTAGTTTGATTTTTTCTTGTAAATTTGTTTAAGTTCTTTGTAGATTCTGGATATTAGCCCTTTGTCAGATGAGTAGATTGTAAAAATTTTCTCCCATTCTGTAGGTTGCCTGTTCACTCTGATGGTAGTTTCTTTTGCTGTGCAGAAGCTTTTGAGTTTAATTAGATCCCATTTGTCAATTTTGGCTTTTGTTGCCACTGCTTTTGATGTTTTAGACATGAAGTCCTTGGCCATGCCTATGTCCTGAATGGTAATGCCTAGGTTTTCTTCCAGGGTTTTTATGGTTTTAGGTCTAACATTTAAGTCTTCAATCCATCTTGAATTAATTTTTGTATAAGGTGTGACGAGGGGATCCAGTTTCAGCTTTCTACATATGGCTAGCCAGTTTTCCCAGCACCATTTATTAAATAGGGAATCCTTTCCCATTTCTTGTTTCTGTCAGTTTTGTCAAAGATCAGCGTGAAGCGCTGTTGAATTTTGTCGAAGGCCTTTTCTGCATCTATTGAGATAATCATGTGGTTTTTGTCTTTGGTTCTGTTTATATGATGGATTACGTTTATTGATTTGCATATGTTGAACTAACCTTCCATCCCAGGGATGAAGCCAGCTTGATCATGGTGCATAAGCTTTTTGATGTGCTGCTGGATTTGGGTTGCCAGTATTTTATTGAGGATTTTTGCATCAATGTTCATCAGGGATATTGGTCTAAAATTTCTTTTTTTGTTGTGTCTCTGCCAGCCTTTGGTATCAGGATGATATTGGCATCATAAAATGAATTAGGGAGGATTCCCTCATTTTCTATTGATTGGAATAGTTTCAGAAGGAATGGTACCAGCTCCTCTTTGTACCTCTGGTAGAATTCGGCTGTGAATCCATCTGGTCCTGGACTTTTTTTGGTTGGTAGGCTATTGATTACTGCCTCAATTTCAGAACTTGTTATTGGTACAAATTCTACCTGGTTTAGTCTTGGGAGGGTGTATACGTCCAGGAATTTATCCATTTCTTCTATATTTTCTAGTTTATTTGCGTAGAGGTGTTTATAGTATTCTCTGATGGTAGTTTGTATTTCTGTGGTATCGGTGGTGATATCCCCTTTATCATTTTTTATTGTGTCTATTTGATTCTTCTCTCTTTCTTCTTTATTAGTCTTGCTAGCAGTCTATCAATTTTGTTGATCTTTTCAAAAAACCAACTCCTGGATTCATTGATTTTTGAAGGGTTTTTTTTGTGTCTCTATCTCCTTCAGTTCTGCTCTGATCTTAGTTATTTGTTGCCTTCTGCTAGCTTTTGAATGTCTTTGCTCTTGCTTCTCTAGTGTTTTTAATTGTAATGTTAGGGTGTCAATTTTAGATCTTTCCTGCTTTCTCTTGTGGGCATTTAGTGCTATAAATTTCCGTCTACACACTGCTTTGAATGTGTCCCAGAGATTCTGGTATGTTGTGTCTTTGTCCTCATTGGTTTCAAAGAACATCTTTATTTCTGCCTTCATTTTGTTATGTAGCCAGCAGTCATTCAGGAGCAGGTTGTTCAGTTTCCATGTAGTTGAGTGATTTTCAGTGAGTTTCTTAATCCTGAGTTCTAGTTTCATTGCACTGTAGTCTGAGAGACAGGTTGTTATAATTTCTGTTCTTTTACATTTGCTGAGGAGTGCTTTACTTCCAACTATGTGGTCAATTTTGCAATAAGTGCAATGTGGTGCTGAGAAGAATGTATATTCTGTTGATTTGGTGTGGAGAGTTCTGGAAATGTCTATTAGGTCTGCTTGGTGCAGAGCTGACTTCAATTCCTGGATATCCTTGTTAACTTTCTGTCTCATTGATCTGTCTAATGTTGACAGGCGGGTGTTAAAGTCTCCCATTATTATTGTGTGGGAGTCTAAACATCTTTGTAGGTCTCTAAGGACTTGCTTTATGAATCTGGGTGCTCCTGTATTGGCTGCATATATATTTAGGATAGTTAGCTCTTCTTGTTGAATTGATCCCCTTACCATTACGTAATGGCCTTCTTTGTCTCTTTTGATCTTTGTTGGTTTAAAGTCTGTTTTATCAGAGATTAGGATTGCAACCCCTGCTTTTTTTTTTTTTATTTTTCATTTGCTTGATAGATCTTCCTCCATCCTTTTATTTTGAGGCTCTGTGTGTCTCTTCTCATGAGATGGGTCTCCTGAATACAGCACTCTGATGGGTCTTGATTCTTTATCCAGTGTTCCAGTCTGTGTCTTTTAATTGGAGCATTTAGCCCATTTACATTTGAAGTTAATATTGTTATGTGTGAATTTGATCCTGTCATTATGATGTTAGCTGGTTATTTTGCTTGTTAGTTGATGCAGTTTCTTCCTAGCATTGATGGTCTTTACAATTTGGCATGTTTTTGCAGTGGCTGGTACCAGTTGTTCCTTTCTATGTTCAGTGCTTCCTTCAGGAGCTCTTGTAAGGCAGGCCTGGTGGTGACAAAATCTCTCAGCATTTGTTTTTCTGTAAAGGATGTTATTTCTCCTTCACTTATGAAGCTTAGTTTGGCTGGATATGAAATTCTGGGTTGAAAATTCTTTTCTTAAAGAGTGTTGAATACTGGCCCCCACTCTCTTCTGGCTTGTAGAGTTTCTGCTGAGAGATCCGCTGTTAGTCTGATGGGCTTCCCTTTGTGGGTTACCCGACCTTTCTCTCTGGCTGCCCTTAATATTTTTTCCTTCATTTCAACTTTGGTGAGTCTGACAATTTATGTGTCTTGGAGTTGCTCTTCTCGAGGAGTATCTTTGTGGCATTCTCTGTGTTTCCTGAGTTTGAATGTTGGCCTGCCTTGCAAGGTTGGGGAAGTTCTCCTGGATAATATCCTGAAGAGTGTTTTCCAACTTGGTTCCATTCTCCCTGTCACTTTCAGGTACACCAATCAGACGTAGATTTGATCTTTTCACATAGTCCCATATTTCTTGTAGGCTTTGTTCATTTCTTTTTACTCTTTTTTCTCTAAACTCCTCTTCTCACTTCATTTCATTCATTTGATCTTCAATCACTGATACCCTTTCTTCCAGTTGATCGAATCAGCTACTGAAGCTTGTGCATGCATCACGTAGTTCTTGTGCCACGGTTTTCAGCTCCATCAGGTCATTTAAGGAATTCTCTACATTGTTTATTCTAGTTAGCCATTCATCTAATCTTTTTTCAAGGTTTTTAGCTTCTTTGTGATGGGTTCGAACATCCTACTTTAGCTCGGAGTAGTTTGTTATTTCCCATCATCTGAAGCCTTCTCTCAACTCGTCAAAGTCATTCTCCGCCCAGTTTTGTTCTGTTGCTGGCGAGGAGCTGCGTTCCTTTGGAGGAGAAAAGGCACTCTGATTTTTAGAATTTTCAGCTTTTCTGCTCTGGTTTCTCCCCATCTTTCTGGTTTTATCTACCTTTCGTCTTTGATGATGGCGATGTACAGATGGGGTTTTGGTGTGGATGTCCTTTCCATTTGTTAGTTTTCCTTCTAACAGTCAGGACCCTCAGCTCCAGGTCTGTTGGAGTTTGCTGGAGGTCCACTCCAGACCCTGTTTGCCTGGGTATCACCAGTGGAGACTGCAGAACAGCGAATATTGCACAACGGCAGATGTTGCTGCCTGATCCTTCCTCTGGAAGCTTTGTCTCAGAGGGGCACCCAGCTGTATGAGGTGTCAGTTGGCCCCTACTGGGAGGTGTCTCCAAGTTAGGCTACTCAGGGTCAGGGACCTACTTGAGGAGGCAGTCTGTCCGTTCTCAGATCTCAAACTCCATGCTGGGAGAACCACTACTCTCTTCAAAGCTGTCAGACAGGGATGTTTAAGTCTGCAGAAGTTTCTGCTGCCTTTTGTTCAGCTATGCCCTGCCCCCAGAGGTGGAGTCTGCAGAGGCAGGCAGGTGTCCTTGAGCTGCGGTGGACTCCACCCAGTTCGAGCTTCCCAGCCGCTTTGTTTACCTACTCAAGCCTCAGCAATGGTGGACGCCCATCCCCCAGCCTCACTGCTGCATTGCAGTTCAATCTCAGACTGCTATGCTAGCAGTGAGCGAGGCTCCGTGAGTGTGAGACCCTCCGAGCCAGGTGCGGGATAAAATCTCCTGGGTGTGCCGTTTGATAAGCCCGTTGGAAAAGCTCAGTATTAGGGTGGGAGTGTCCTGATTTTCCAGGTACCCTCTGTCACGGCTTCCCTTTGCTGGAAAGGGGAATTTCCCAACCCCGGGTGAGGCAATGCCCCGCCCTGCTCCGTGGGCTGCACCTGCTGTCTGTCAAGCCCCAATGAGATGAACCCTGTACCTCAGTTGGAAATGCAGAAATCACCCGTCTTCTGCGTCGCTCACGCTAGGAGCTGCAGGCTGAAGCTGTTCCTATTCAGCCATCTTGGAACCTCCCCCGCCTCAAACTTTATTCAATCCTCTCTCACAGCTGAAATTATCAACTATCGGGGATTTTACATGGTAGAGAATTTATGCAATTTAGGCATAGAGTGTATTATAAATGAGTTTGATCAATCATTCATCCAAGATTTACAGATTTGTTTTACTTCTTAACCCATGAAATAAGGGTGTACAGTATTTTCAGCTTGCTTGCTTTCCTGATTCACCATAGACAGAATATGTTCTCCACTTATCAGATTAACCTCTAGTTTCCATTATGTGGTAGTCAGAATAATGCTCTCCCAAACAAAAAGATGCCCATACCCTCATCCATGGAAGGTATAAATATGTTGCCTTACATGGCAAAAGGGACTCTGTAGCTGTGGTTAAGATTGAGGAATTTGGCTGGGCATGATGGCTCATGCCTGTAATCCCAGCACTTTGGGAGGCCGAGGCGAGTGCATCACCTGAGGTCAGGAGTTCGAGAAGAGCCTGGCCAACATGGCGGAACCCTGTCTCTACTAAAAATATAAAAATTAGCCAGGTGCAGTTGCAGGTGCCTGTAATCCCAGCTACCGGTGAGGCTGAAGCAGGAGAATCGCTTGAACCCAGTAGGCAGAGGTTGCATTGAGCCGAGATCGTGCCACTGCACTCCAGCCCGGGTGACAGAGCCAGACTGTTTCTCAATAAATAAATAAATAAAAAAGACTAAAGAAATTGAGATGAGAATTCTCCAACCTGGTCCAATCTAATCACATGAATTCTTAAAATCACAGCAACCTTTCCTAGCTGCAGTCTGCAAAAGATGCAAAGACTACAGAAGGGTCAGAGAGACTGCACTGTTACCAGCTTTGAAAATGAGAGATAAAGGGGCGCAAGAAATGTGGGTGACATCCAGAAGCTGGAAAAGGCAAGGCAATGGCTTCTCACTTAGAGCCTCCAGGAGGAAAAGCAGCCCTGTTAATGCCTTGATTTTAGCCTAGTGAGATGTATGTTGAATGTCTGACTTTTTTTGTTGTTTTAAAACATTAAGTTTGTGAAAATGTGTTACAGCAGCAATAGAAAGCAAATAAAGATGTTCATATCTGAAACTGGAGTTCTGATGTAAAAAATACCTGAAATTGCAGAAGTGGAATGGGAATTGTGCACTAGGAAGAGGCTGGAAGAATTTTGAGTAGGATGATGGAAAATATCTAGATTGCCTTGCAAAAACTTAGCAAAAATATGAATGTGGATGATTCTGTCAGTGAGGGCTCAGAAGGAAGTGAGAAGCATGATAGAAAACCATGTGCCCCTAGAGAACACCTAAATGGTTGTGAACAGACTGCAAATAAAAATGGGAACCTTAAAGTTGATGTTGATGGGGGCTTAGGAGGAAGTGAAGAACATGTTATCGGAAAGTGGAGGAAAGGAGATACTTGTTATATAGTGGCAGCAAGTTTAGTGCAAATGTGTCCTAAAATTAGGTGAAAAATAGAACTTGTAAATGACAAATTGGACATTTAGCTGAGGAGATTTTCAAGCAAAATGTTAGAGATGTGGTCTGGTTTCTTCATGTTGCTTACAGTAAAATTGGAGAGAAAAACAGTAAATTGAGAGGAGAACTGTTAAACACAAAAGAAGTGGGACTTGATTTTGAAAACTTTCAGCCTATTAAGATCAAAAAAGCTTCCAAAATGAAGAGTTTCCATGTCAGAAAGGCGTCCTCTAAAGGCGAAATTGAGGATGTGGCCCTACAACCCTTTGCTAATATCTTAGAAGAAAACGTCAGACTTTTCAATCACACAAAGATGCCTAGAAGAGATTAAAAGTGCAACAAATAGGTTGGCTCCAGAGAGCATCTGAAAAGCTTAAGAATATGCTCCCTCAGCCATATAAGTAAAAGTCAAAAATGTAAAAGGATTTTTCTATGAAAAATTTGTAGATGGGCCTTTTATGTAATGAAGTAAATCCAGATTAACCTACAGAAAATCCACATGATTTTTGGGAATTTCACATAGTAAAACCAATGACAGTTTGGACCAAAAGGGGAAGAGAGTACAACATGAAAGACCTCAAATATTATCCTGGCAGGAAGCAGATCGGTACAACCACTCAGCTGCAAACACATATGAGCAGCATTTCTGTTCTCTTCTGAGACCAGAGATGCAAGTCCAGGGAGCAGAGCTGTGAGTCCAGAGATAGATCCATGAGTCAAAGAGGATTATTCTCTGGAAAGCAAATGTAGTTTACTTAGCTGAAATTTTAAATTGATTGGTGTTAGTAACTGCTTTTCCCATTTCATTTTCTCCATTTTACTACTAGTATGTCTAAAATTATTTTTCTATGGCTGTTCCATCATGATTTTTTTTTGGAGCCAGTACCTTGTTTGTTAAGTTTCACATGTTCACACATAAAGAAGAATTGCGCCTGAGAACAAATTAGATCCCCTTCATTCATATCTAATGTAGATAATATTTGGAATTTTGATCTGATAAAATTTAGAAGTGATTTTGTTGATGTTTAATGGATTGATGCTTTTGGGGATCTTGGGATGTGGTGAATGTCTTCTGCATGTGTGAAAGATGGGAATTTTGAAGGCCAGAAGTTGGGCTATGGTAGGCAGAATAATTGACCGACAAAGTTGTCCATAATCTATCACCTCAAACCTGTTTCCACATGAAAAATTGTGTTGACACTTGTCATTAAGATTAAAGAACCCAAGATGGGAACATTATTCTGCATTATTTAGTAGAACCAATTTAAAAGTGGCTGAATTGCAGGCACAACATTAGCAATACACAGCAGAACAGGTAAAATAGAATCTCAATTTTCTGTCCACAGGACTGAAATGGAATCTCTGGTAAACCATAAAAGACAAAAGAGGCTATGTAGAGGAATGGACTAAGAAAATATATTTTAAAAAATTTTATGAACTCCAGAGCTCACCTCCAAGCTCTACATGGCAGGACTGATTCTAGTCAGCATGCCAAACCCTTTGAGAAATGAATTAAAAGGCCACTATCTAGGTCCCAGAATGACCATTAAATGGTACATGTCTTGAACAAATTTGAAGACTACTACCAAGGTTTTGAAAATAAATATAATATTAGAACCAGGACACTCAGGAAGCAGGATAAAACTAGTGGTTTAAACTAATCAGTTCAATGATCTGCTAAAACAAAAATAATAACATTTTCATAGAATGTTTTAAAACCTAGAATTTTACAACATAATATGTAAATGTGCAGGATAAAATCAAAAATCATAAAATAGTTTTTAAAAACATGAAAATTTTGACTCCTGTGGGAGAAGATAATCAGCAACACCAATATGACATGGGTATTGAAAATATCTGATGGACATTAAAGCAGCTATTACAGAAATGCTCTAACTAGGAATTATAAATACTCTTGAAAATGTGTTGAAATAGAAAGCCTCAAAAAAGATAAATAAAAAAGAATCAAAAGAAAATTGTAGATATAAAAAATACCATCAAAATAAATCCTTATCGGATTGACTTAATATCAGAACAGAGAAGAAAAATACAAGTTGGTAAATTTGCAGATAGAGCAATAAAATTTATGCAATCTGAAAATGAGATTTAAAAAATAGGAAAAAATGAACAGAGATGACGGATCATTGAAAAAACAAAGAAATTTCAAACATTTGTTTTATCAAAGTCCCAGAAAGAGAGGACAGAGATTCTTCTCTGGAAGAAATGACAAAAATGGGAAGAAATGACAGCTGACAATGTCTTACATTGACACAAGATATAAACTTACAAATTCAATATGCTGAACAAACCCTCAGAGGGAAATCTACTCAGACACATTATAACAAACCAGTGAAAACAAAAGACAAAAAAAAACTGGAAATAGTCAAAGAAAAATGATTACCTATAGATAAACAAATATTTAAAAGAATATAAAATTCTCATAATTAACCATTGAGTTCAGAAGGAAGTGGCATAATATTTTTAATGATGGAAAGTAATCCTGAATCATATATCCAATTATTGTATCTTCTTTAGGAATGAAGGTGAAATTAAGGCACTTAGTTAAAGAAAAACTGAGAAGTGGTTTACTGGAAGTATAAATTGAAACAAACTTGGGACTTAAGTAATAAAAGAGAACAACAGAATTGGAAAATATCCAGGTAAATCTTCATCTTTTCCTCTCTTGAATTATTAAAAACAGCATTCTGGCAATTCTGGTTTCAACTACAATCAGAGAGTATAACATTGCCAGATGAGGTTTTTACTGTGTGTAGAAAAAATGTGTAAGACATGTATGTAGCATAAAAGAACAAGGGGACCTATACAATGTTAATATTTCTATATTCCAAATGACATAGTAAAATATTGATTCTGAATAGGCTTTAAAGGTAAATATGAAAAAGTTGAATATACATATTATTATACTTAATTATAAGCATATGAGTAATTACATTAAATGTAAATATCTAAACATACTAATTAAAGTACAGAATTTCAGATAGAATATGTAATATAATTTAACTTTATGATGTCTACACAAAGTTCACTTCAAGTAGAATTAAGAAAAAGAGTGTAGAAAAAGTTTTTTTGGGCAATAATGAAACAAAAGAAAGCTAGAGTGGCTATATTCATATTGAACAAAAAATAATTACCAGGGAAAACAGAGATATTAATAAAAGGGATAATTCACCAGGAAAACTTAGAACTTCTAAATATGTATGCACCTAACCACAGAGCTTGAAAATGCATGAAGCAAAATCTAACGGGACTAAAATAAGATATAGTTAAGTCCACGGTTATAATTAATCTCAATACTTCTTTCTGAGTAATATTATAGTGGGTAGAAAATAAGTGAGGCTTTAGAAAAACTAAGAATACCATAAACTAACTAGATCTAACTGACATTTGTAGAACACCCCACCCAAATGTATTTGTAATACTAAAGTAGATATACCAAACCTGTGCTGCAAATTAGACCTTAACAAATTTAAAAGGTTTAAAACTGTACAAAGTATATTTTCAGGCCTTATGAAATTAAATTAGAAATTACTAGGAGAAGGATATGAAGAAAATCTCTACACACTGAAACATTAAACAACGCACATCAAAATAATCTTTGAGGCAAAGAGGTAATTTTAACATAATTTAGAAAATACTTTGAACTCAATAAAAATGAAAAATTAGTAAGATGCAGCTAGAACAATGCTTAGAGGGAAATTTATAGCACTAAAATGCTTATATTAGTAAAGAAGAAATTTGTTAATACAGTAACATGCTTCCACATTAAAAAATTAGAAAAAGAATAGAGAAATAAACCAAAATTAAATCAAGCAGAGGAAAGAAAGTAACAAGGGTGATAAGAGAAAACAACAAAAATAAGAACAGAAAAACATACAGAAAAATTAAAACAAAAGAGGTTTTATGAAAAGATGAACAAAGTTGATAAAACTCTAGAAAGACTAAAGCAAAAGAGAAATAGTTGATAATGGGAATGAAAGACAATATATTCACTGCTATCCTCACAGATAATGAGATGATAGTAAGGAATACTATAAACAACTCTGCAAACATAACTACATAACTGTGGCAATTTAGAAGAAATGTCATAGTCCTAATTCAGGCTCTTGGCAAATGAGTCTTTTCTTACTGGGATTTCTGACATTCATTCCACCTGATTCCTACGACCTTCCAGTCTGTGATTGGCACAACCAAAATTTCTACATTTTCTAAAGCTGATCTTGTAACTTCTATGCTTCATGTTTTTAAATTTCTTTTAACTTATTAGAAAATAATTATTAACATAAAAGCTCTATCGTGATATGACTTCTCCTATATCTCTACACTTTTTTGTATGACTCATTCTTTGTTTTGAGAAATTACATTACTTGTTTTTACACTAATTCACAAATATTTCTCATGTGCACCTAGAATGCCCTCCCAAGATTTAGTGTAGCAAATTTCCATATTTCTAGAAATCTAATTTACTTTCTCTTTGAAGGTTGATCTTCTTTCTTTAGGTAAATTTATATGCCGTTTTCCACCTGCTGTTATTGCATTTGTTTATGTTTCAAATACGGCACATATCTCATGTTTTTGCCATTATTTGCAGATCTGCCTTCTATTAGAATACAAAAATCTTGCAGGCAGGGGTGAACCTCTCTGCATTTGTGTCTTCACTGACCTGCACGGGATCTGGCACACAGTAGTCACTCAGTGGTTGTATATAGACAGGTGTAAAAATGAAATGGTCAAAATCTCACAGATTGGTAGAAGAGTCCATAGTGGGTAGCCATACTTGTCAATTCCTTTCAAAAATGGAAAAATATTAAAAGTTAAATATCTGGAACATCTTGTTCTTTAAATTTCCCAAAGCAATTACTTGAACTTTATTTCATAAAATATACTATTCATGTAATATTGATCTGCTAAGTTTAACATTAAATGATCAGTTTGACATAGACTATCATCTTCTACTTCATGCATAATAAAATCTAGCCTAACTTATAAAAGCATTTTGACATTAACCCCACATATACAATTAAGTATCCTTACTATCCATTTGCTTTTCATGAGTGCACACAACATATGTTCGCTTGGCATTCTTTTTCTGGAACAGTGAGTAAAAAGTACTGTTATATCATTATTAAACATGAAATATCATTAAAGATACTCAAATGGAGGTACCAAAGGGATAAAACCATGCAATATTGCTCCATCATTTCAGAGGCTGAAGCTCTTCCAGTGAGGCTGCTATAATTTATAATTTGATTCCCACAAACTTATTTATCAATATCTTGCCCCACTGACAACATCTTTAAAAAAGGGCCTTCCCTCTTGGTATCTGGCATGTCTCTTCACCTCCATCTCTTGCCATAAATTCAGTCTCATTATACTCAGGGATAAACACTTTGGGAACTTGCAGCCACTTATCGTAAATGGGTTTATGTCACAATTGGTTTTAAAGGAGAGACATAATTTTTTGAATTATGGGCACTGGCCTGCTCTATTAGGTAATTCAATGTGACAAGATGACTCATCTGGATGACAGACTATTTATGTTGAAGAGGGAAAAATTGGAAGTGACATTTTATTCTGGTAGTCTTTTTTTTTTCCTTTGCTTATCTTCCCAGGATTTAACTACTCAAAAGAGCCCACTTGATTGAAATGTGTCCACTTTATTCGTACATCTCTTTTGCAGCAGAAAAAAAAAATTAGTATCTTGAGCAGGCTTTGATTTCTCCTAAAGGCAGCAGAACCATTTCTTTTTGTGATTTTCCTATGAAGAACTAGATATTCTCTGCAGGAACAAGAGTCTTGCTCTTGACTGGTTAGCCTGCATTGAATCAGGTCATTCAGGGAGACCTCAGACAGGTCTGCATTGACCTATCTCCACGCAGAAGGGGCAGCATTAGTTAGCCCACTGTCCTCAGGGCTTCCAGCAATGTGACAGCTCTGTCAAGAGAGGCACTGAAGAGTAAAAGTGGTTGCTTGTTCAAAGGCTTTCAATGGGATTGCTGCTGAAGATGAGACTCACTGAAATGTTGATGTTAATATGTTTGATAATTCCAAATCCATCAGGCTTGCAAAGGAATAGGTGATGTCCAAGGTTTGGGTTGGAGAATTCCTTCAAATGATGGGAGAGACATCCAGAAGTCATTTCAGTAATTTTGTCTATTTGGTCTATGTCTTTGTCATCATAAACATACAGCTTGATCTTCCTCAGGATGGTGAGGAAGCAGTTGAAGGAGTTCCCTGAGTAAATTGCCAGTGCTTCTCTGAGTTGGCATGGCCATGGTCATTTGGATGCTGCCCAGGAGCTTTATTTAGTGCACTATTCTGTTTTTCTCAGAAGAAAACATAGCCTTCTAAGAATAGCCAGAATAGACAAAAGTCTACAAGTCACTTGCTGGTTAGTGTTTGTACATTTAACTTACATATGAAGGCTTAGCTGTTTAATCAATCCTTAGAAGACTTCATTTTAACTCCACCAACAGGTTCTTTTCTTGTTCATGACTGGCCTGGCTTCTAGTTAGAACAAAGCTTCTCTATGGCTATCCTTTCACCTTATTTAGATTCATCTTTCTCCATACTATCACAGCACTATTAAACTCCTCACAAATGTGCAGAGTCCTTCCAGAATGATGCTGAGTCTAGTCTGTTTATGGTGCTACCTGCTCACACCTTGACTACTGCCTCAGTATACTCCATATGGTAAGCGATAAAGACAGAGGACCATTCATTTCCTATGGTTCTGTTTTCTCATAATGTTAGCATCTATATACTTGATACCAAGTAATATCTTTGTATTTTTCAGGTGATGGAAGTGTTTCTGAAAAGTTTCCTGAAGAAATAACTTAAGTGTTCCAGATTCCTTGAAATTTAGTTGCAGCAATGGCTAATGAATTTATGAAAATTGTTCAAGCTCATCAGTCATTTAGAAAAAGTATAATAAAAGCTACAATGAGATGTTGCCTTATAAAATTAGAAAAAAAATAGTAAAGGAAGATCTTATGTGAGTGAACATATAAAATAGGGATGCATTGCTAATGAGAATACAAGCTTTTATTTAAAAATCTAATTTAGAAAAGTTCATTAAAAGTAAAAAGTATATGCATTTTGATGCACATTTTGAAAATATTACTTATAGAAAATTTCACCATGGTGTGGTTTATATTGGCAAAGCATTGGAGGCAAACTGAATATTTACAGAAAAAAAGTAAAATAAATTGATTTGAATCTAAATTTGAAAATATTAAAAAAGAATGAGATAAAATTGCACTGGATAATCTAATAGCCAGGAGAGAAATCCATAAATACTATTGAGGAAAACACGTTGCCATAAAATGTGTATAATACTATCTCATTAAAATAAAAAACAAAAGAAACATGTAAAGCTATACTATAAGGTTTTCTTAGGTAGACAAGTGATGGGTGGGACTAGTTATATTTTTCTACATAATTACTGCATCATGTCACTAGTTTTATTGATCATGTGCATATTAATATTGAAGCATGTGATATGGTTTGGCTCTGTGTCCCCAGACAAATCTCTATTTCAAATTGTAATCCCCACAATCCCTATGTGTCAAGGATGGGACCTGGTGGGTAGTGATTTGACCATGGGGCTGTTTACACCCATGCTGTTCTCCTGATAGTGAGTGAGTTCTCATGAGATCTGATGGCTTTATATGTGTTTCACAGTTCCTCCTACACACCTTCTCTCTCACCTGCTGCCATGTAAGACATGTCTGCTTCCCGTTCCATCATAATTTTAAGTTTCCTGAGGCCTCCTTAGTCATGTGGAACTGAGTCAGTTAAACCTCTTTTCTATATAAATTACTCAGTCTTGGGTAGTTATTTATGGTAGTGTTAAAATGTACTAATACAGTAAATTGGTACCACAGAGACTGGGATACTGCTGTAAAGATAGTTGAAATTGTGGAAGCAACTTCAGAACTGGGTATTATACAGGGATTGTAATAGCTTGAAGGGCTCAGAAAAAGACAGAAAGAAGTGGGAAAGTTTGGAACTTCCTAGAGACTTGTTTAATAATTTTGACCAAAATTCTGATAGTGATGTGAACAATGAAGTCCAGGCTAAAGTGATCTCAGATGGAAATGAGGAATTTATTGGGCATTGAAGTAAAGGTCATTCTTGTTAAGCTTTAGCAAAGAGACTGGTGGCACTTTGCCCCTGCCCTAGATATTTGTGAAACTTCAAACATTAGATAATTGATTTAGGGTATTTGACAGAAGAAATTTCTAAGCAGCAAAGCTTTCACGAGGAAGCAGAGAATAAATGTTTGGAATATCTGCAGCCTGACCATGAAGTAGAAAAGAAAAATACATTTTCTGGGGAGAAATTCAAGAGGGCTGCAGAAATTTGCATTAGTAATGAGGAGCCAAATGTTAATAGTCAAGACAGTGGTACAAATGACTCGAGGGCATGTCAGAGACCTTTAGAGCAACCCCTACCATCACAGGCCCTGAGGCCTAGGAAGAAAAAAATGGTTTTGTGGGATGGGCCCAGGGCCCACTGCTTTGCACAGCCTCAGGATTTGGTATCCTGAATCCCATCTGCTCCAGTTCCAGCCATGGCTAAAAGGGGGCAAGGTAGAGCTTGGGCCATTGCTTCAGAGGGTGCAAGTCCCAAGCTTGGCAGCTTCCACCTGGTTTTGAGCCTCCAGGTGCACAGAATTTAAGAATTGAGGTTTGGGAACCTCCTCCTAGATTTCAGCAGATGTATGGAAACACTTAGATGCCCAGGCAGAAGTCTGCTTCAGGGCTGGAGCCCTCATGGAGAATCTGCTATGGCAATGTAGAAGGGAAATGTGGGATTGAAGCCCCCACACAGAGTCCCACTGGGGCACTGCCTAGTGGAGCTGTGAGAAGACGGCTATTGTCCTTTAGATCCCCAAATGGTAGATTCACTGACAGCTTGTACCCTATGCCTGGAAAAGCCATAGACACTCAACATCAGCCCATTAAAGCAGCCAGGAGGCTGTACTCTGTAAAGCCACAGGGGTGGAGCTGCCCAAGGCCGTGGGAGCCCACCTCTTGCATATGTGCCCTGAATGTGAGACATGGAGTCAAAGGAGATCATTTCAGAACTTTAAGATTTAATGACTGTCTTGCTGGGTTTCAGAATTGCGTGGGCCTGTAGCCCCTTTGTTTTGGCCAATTTCTCCCATTTGGAATGGGAGTATTTATCCAATGCCTGTACCCTCCTTGTATCTTGGAAGTAACTAACTTGCTTTTGATTTTACAGGCTCATAGGCTGAAGGGATTTACCTTATCTTAGATGAGACTTTGGACTGTATTCTTTTGAGTTAATGTTGAAATGAGTTAAGAGTTTGGAGTACTGTCTGGAAGGCATGATTGGTTTGGAAACGCAAAAAGGACATAAACTTTGGGAAAGACTAGGGGAGAAATGATATGGGTTGGCTGTGTCCCCACACAAATCTTATTTTGAATTGTAATCCTCATAATCCCCATGTTTTGAGGGCAGGACATGGTGGGAGGTGATTGGGTCATGGGGACAGTTTCCCCCATGCTATTCTCCTGATAGTGTGTGAGTTCTCATGAGATCTGATGGTTTTATAAGTGTTTGACAGTTCCTCTTACATATGCTCTGTCTCATCTGACACCATGTAAGACACTCCTACTTCCCCTTCTGCCATAATTGTCAGTTTTCTGTGGCTTCCTCAGACATATGGAACTGTGAGTCAATGAAACTTATTTTCTTTATAAGTTACCCAGCCTCGAGCAGTTCTTTATAGCAGTGTGAAAATGGAATAATACAACATACATTTAACATTTAAACAAGAAATAAAGCAGTAGAGTTTGGGTGAGATAAAGCCAAAATCCTCAGTTCCTCATCTATGTATTACAGTAGTAGCTGTCTTTTCAATATTCTGTTCTGATACCCACAGAGATTTGCTATTACTTTTTGCCTGACTAAAGAAGGTAAACTTAGACAAATGTTATTTCACTGAACAAATGTATTTAAGTTACTGGGACTTACAAACTTAGAATAAAATAATTCCATGAGGAAGAATGTTTTGAAGTGGGAAAAAAAAACTACACATGAATCTGGGCTGAAAATTGGTGGCATGGCTTATTTTAAGGGCTCACAGTTAAGGAGAAGAGTACATAAAGAGAACAAAAAGATGATTATGGATTAACAATGTACTACTCCAGCTCATGATCTAGCATCACAATGAGTCTGTTCTTAGACAAAAAGGTAATTGTTATTTTATACCTAGTATTATTTTGCTACTAAATAATAATTGAATATATACACACACACACACACACACACACACACACACACCATTGTTTCTGTTTCTTTGAGGAACCCTGACTAATATCTGTTTCTTTGGAGAACCCTTATGTCATATATATCTCATATATATATCATATATCATTTATATATATATTTTTACAGTCATCCTTTAGTATCATCTGAGATTGGTTCTGGGAGCCCTGTAGATACCAAAATCTGTCGATGCTCAAGTCTCCCAATTAGCCTAAAGGAACCTGCTGTTATGAAAACTTGTCTCTCCACATCTGTGGGTTCTGCATTCCCGGATTATTGTATTTTTTAATCAGCAGTTGGTTGAATCTGTTGATTGGAAACTGCAGATATGAAAGGTCAAGAGATATGGAGAAATGGAGAGAGAAAGATACAGGGGAGAAAGACAGACAGAAAAACAGAGAGAGAGATTTATTATAAGGAACTAGCTTATGTGATTATAGATGCTGAGAACTGAGAAGTCCAATCTTCCATCTGCAAGTGGAGATCCAGAAAAGCAGGGTCATAATTCAGTGTGAGTCTGCAGACTTGAGAATCAGGGAAGTTAATGATGGAAATCCCAGTCTTGAGGCAGAATAGGAGATGAGAGGTCCCAGGTCAGGCAATGGGGCAGAAAAAAAGAGGTGAATTCATCCCTCTTTGGGATTTTTTCCTATTCAGGCCCTCAGTGGATCAGATGATGTTACCCCATGTTGGAAAAGACCCCCACCTCTAATGCTAATATTATGGAGATTCGCCCTCACATACATACCCAGAAAAAGTGTTTAATCTAGACATCCAGGGGCCCACCCAAATTCACACATGAAATTATCCATCACAATAGTATACATAAAACCATTTAACAATTTAACAGATACAGCTAAGGTTTGAGTGCCTACTATGTGCCAACCACTACTCCAAGTGCTGGAGATACATTAGTAAACAAAATTGACAAACATTGTATCCTGGCAAACTCTACCTTTGACCAGTACCCAAAGAGTTTTATAGAGCCAGATTATAGATTCCAGAGCTTACACTTACAAAGAAGAATTCATTTCTAGGAATAAAAAAACCTGGGCAAGCATTGAAGCTCTTACATTCAATTCATTAAAAAAAAGGCGTGGAGTGCTGGGTCTCAGTTTTTAGTGTGCATATGAATGTCCTAGGAAATTTGAGATAAAGCCATTTTTTTATTCCAGTCTGAAAAATCTGAGTCAGAGCCCAGGGATCTGCATTTTACAAACCATATCTGATGAATTGGTGTTTTGTCACCACACTTTCAGAAACAGTTGACTACAGAGTAGCTGGAATGTTCACCCATCACTCCTTAACCAGATATTTTTCATACCTCTATCTACAGAGTGACAGATGTAGACACCATATTGGAAATTATTCGCATCTCTACATAGTTTATTTGTTCAGTATTGGTCAATAGAGTTGCTCATCCTTCTGACTATAATTTATTGGTCTAGATGGAGGCATTTGAATCTAGTTAGACTTTTAATGGGGCGATGTCTTCATGGAACTTGAGCTCTTCCTTTTACCTTTTCTGCTATCCTGCTGTTTTTACTATCTGGGACTCCACAAGACACCCAGTATTATTATTACGCTAAATGCAATGTTTCTTCTAAACTATTTTAGCTAATTTTTTGTCTTATGAGCCAAGAATTCTTTCTAACTAACAATCAAACAAAAGCCACAGGCCTAGCTTAAAGCTACCAATAATAAGTAGCAAACATGGAAATGACTCTAAATCCATTTTTTCTGTTACTGCCTTTCCTCATATATCCTAGTTTTGCCAAAAAACTTACAGGCTCTGTGGTTCTTTTTGTCTGTTCTCCCCCAATCCTTTAGTTAATGTGGTTCATCATTTACAAGGGACAAGCCAATTCTATTTCAGTTCTTTCAGGGATATCCATATAATTCCCAGTTAAAATCAGCCTAAATTTCTTTAGCGATATAGAAGATGTGAATGTTCTATAATTTTGGTGGGGATTGGGGAAAGGACTGTTTGGCAAACCAGTTTGAACCTCTCCATTCCAGCTGCTGGTTAACTCTTGGGGGAAAAGAGATATGCTATTGCTCTTCAGGGAGTACCCTTACATTGAGGGTAAGGTGTTATTTTTCTTGTTGCATGAGGTTATAATTCCTTTGTGTGGCTTTCTTTCTCTGCGGGAGAAAAGAGACAGGATAAATATCAGTCTTGCTAGAGAAAAGTAATCTGTATGGTGCCGAATGTCTGCTTTGAGTGCCTTCAAAGCTGACCTGCTAGCTTGTCTAATTTATTGTCCCTGGTGAGAAAGTTTATATCTAGAAACAAAACTAACCTATTCTTAAATTCTCCAAAAGCAGCTCCCTTGCAGTTGTTTTGCGGGGGGGTTGTTGATACATTTTTTAGGCGTTAATTTTTTTTCAAGATAAGAATAGCAATAGAATAAAGATATAAAATACAAAACTTCGATGGATAGTCAATTATCTAGGAAAATTTTCAGCCTTTTCTAAGAATAAGGAAAAAAATGAAAACATGAAGAGTATCACACATTGGATTGTTGTTCACTGCAAAACTATTTAATCAGAAAAATACCATGGAGTGATTTTAAAGTATCAGGCAACTTATATTCACACGAACAAATATGGGCATCTTAATGTCTGACAGAGAGAATACTTGGTCAGGAATCAGGAAACTTGGCATCAATCCTGATTTTTTGTATTCAAAGTTCATTTTTTACTATGAAATAAAGAAAAGAATAATATCTACCAATTAAATTGTGTGAAGATCAAACTGATGATGTATGAAATGTGAGTTGTAAATTATAAAAGCCTAAACAAACATGAGATTGTCTTTTTATTTTGGTATAATTTACGTAGAGTAAAAAGTATTCTTTTCAGAATGCAATTCTTTGTTGATACAATCACACAGTAATGTTACTATCAGTAAACCAACATTAGAGTAGTTCCATCATCTTCTCACAAAATATTCTTTATGCCTATAAATAGTCACGTTCTCCTTATGACCCCAGTCTTTACCAAACATTGATTTTTTTGTCCCTAGTTTGGGCTGAATTTGTTTTATTTCACTTTGCATAATACAGTTGAGCTTCGTTCATGCTGTTGCGTGCATCAATAGTCTGTTTTCTTGTATTGCTGGAGAGCATATCATTGTACGAATTTATGACAGTTTGTTTATACATTTACCAGTGGAAGAACATCTGGATATTTTCCCTTCAGATGATTATGAGTAAATCTGCTATAAATAAAAGCATACAAAATATTGTGTGAACATATTTTTTAATTTCCCTTGAATAAATACCTGGAAGTGAGGTTGCTAGGTCATAGGGTAAGTGTATATTTAAATTTTGTATAAACTTTCTCCAAAGCAGCTGTGTAATATTATCCAAGTCCTGCTGTATGAGGGTTCTGGTTGCCCTGTATGCTCACCAGCATGTGATATAAGCATATTTGTTCCATTTGTACTGTTTTGTTTGGTTTGTAGCCGTTATGATAGGTGTGCAGGTGTGACTCATAATAATTTTAAGTTAAATTTCTGTAATGAATCATGATATTAAGCATATTTTCATGACTTTTTGGCATCTATATATTTTATTTGGTGAAGTATCTATTTACATCTTTTGCCCATATATCATAAAACTCTATTTCTTTATATTATTTCATTTTAATATTCACAATATTCCAGTAGGTTAGGATTTATAATTTTCATTTTACAGATGACAAAACTAAGCTGTAAATACCACATTATCTCATATGTGGAATCTAAAAAAGTCTAACTAATAGACATAGAGAGTAGGATGATGGTTACCAGAGGCTGGGTAAATGGGGATGGAGGGAATGGGACGTTGTTGTTCAAAGGTACAAAGTTTCAGAGAAGAAGAATGCGTTTTGGGCTCTATTGCACAGCAATGACTATAGTTAATAAAAATAGCAGCGTGACTATAGTTAATAAAAATATATTGTACATTTCAAAATAATTAAGAGAATAAGTTTCAAATGTTTTACCATTTTAAAAAAGTAGGTAAGCAATTTGATATGCTAATTAGCCTGATCTAATCATTATACATTGTTTGCATATATTATATTATTTCATTGTAATAATTGCATAAACGTATGCAATTGCAAAATATAATGGCATAAATGAATGCAATTATAATTTGTCAATTATGATTTGTCCAAAACTAGTATTTAAAACAACAAGCAAACTTGTTTTTTAACAAGTCCTAATGTGTCTTAAAACTTACAAAGATTTGGTGTCAGAACTGGAAACTCATGATAATTTCTTGTTGCTATACTAATTCCATAGAAGCCAGTGTGTTTTCTAAAGTCTATCAATTTCTGGTTGTCTTTAGGAAAATTATGTGTGTTGAGGATTATTGTTGTACAGTTTTGAGGATTATTGTTGTACAGTTTTGAATTTGAGCTCAACTTCCTTCTGTTTTCTAACATTTTTCAGAAGTAACTGAGGGTTGTGCACTAGTTATGTTGACTGATAAGGTATAAAACAATTTCATTGTTTTGAATCAGGAAGCAAATCTGCTGAAGGAAGCTGCAGGTGATTCATGCTTGAACATCAGGTAGATATAATTTTGGATCACCGCCCTCTTTGGTTTATTCATTTCTCTACACTCCTTGATTAGTCTAGTGAATAAAAATTGTTATCTATTTCTTGATTTTTACTTTATAGGTACAAGAGAGGCTTTTTTCTAAAATACATATTTATGAATTAGTATAGATATTCAGTCTGCATGGAAGAGGCCCCAAACATCAATCTTCCTGTATCGAAAATAAAGCTTATCACAACTGCCACATAGAGTACTGTTAATTAAAGATGATGTATGTGAAATGATTAATATAGAAGATTAGTTAATGATAGTCACTTTATAATAATATTATTTGGTATGTGCCAAGGATTTTGATAAATGCATTACAGAATTCTAACAACTCCATGAAGCAAATTTTACATGTGAGGTAATTGACATATTATGCAATTAAATAAATAGACAAATTACCTAAATAGTAAATGAAGATGGGATTTAAATCAGGTATATTTGATTCCAAAGTCATACTCTTCACCTCTCTACTCAATTTATTATTTTAATGTAAAATATTTGAAATACTCAAAATGTTTGATGATGATTCCAGTTATTTCTTAAGTACTTTGCACAAGTATATAAGGCCTGACTGTTTTCTTAATATAAATTGGCTATATTGTATAGGCATTACTCTTAAAAAATCAAGATTAACAACCTAATGCTTACTATTCTACTATCAATAGCATGCCCTTTGTATGTGTCCATAGTGATTAATTATAAGAGGCTGTAATCTTTGGGATCATAAATAAAACAAACAAACAGTAGCTAGTTGTAAATGATAAATAAAGAAAAATAGAAAATGTCTGTATTTGTATTTGATCAGGGAAACAGAACTCTTATAAATATTATAGAGTAAGAACTTATGACAGAAACTAGACACAACATAGTTGAGAGAGGAGTCTGGGAAGTCGGGGTCACAAGGGCAATTGGAGGATCAGAGAAAAGGCCTGACCAGTCTTCCTAAACAGTGGTACAGGTGGAAAACACACAACTTGCAGAAAAGTCTGGTAAGCCGTGTGGGTCCAGCTGCTGTGTGTGACCACGGAGTAGAACTGACAGGGAATTCTGTGGAAGGCTGTAGCCTCTACACCTGGTGGTAAGCTTGGAATTGTTGCTGGTCCGCAGAGCCAGAAGTCAGGAATAAGAGCTGAACATGAAGTGGGGTGAGCCAGCACGAGCTGGAACTCACAAAACAAGACAATTTACATAGTCTCACTGAAGTTAACCTTCCCAAAGTAATGTCTGTCACGTCACTTCTACCCTTTACAACTCATTCAAATGACTCTGTTGGCCATCTCTAACCCAGAAGGGATGTTGAGGAAACTAGATCCATCTTAGCCAAATTAACATTTTTTTTAAAAGACACTGATTGCCTCTATTTATTTTGCTCTCTAATTATTTAAAATCTATTGCGTTTCTGAACCCATAATGATCTGAACATTCTGAGACAATCTATAAGGAAAGGGAAGTTTGTTTTGAGATAGTTCTCTTCTCTTTAGATCACTCTTATGGCAATTGTTTATGTTGCTCGTGTGCAGAGGGACCATTTATTGGCCTGATATTGTCAAAGCTAATTTCCAGAGGGCACTGCCGCATATTGACTGAACAGCTTGGTTGATATTGAAGGAAAGACAACTGAATATGGAAAGGAATGGAGAATTTCCTGTAATTAATAATAACGTGGAGGGTGAAGATTATTAGTAAAGGAAGATTGAGAGTGAAGCTCATTTCAGAGAGTAAGTACAAAGCGGCATATATTCTTCCAACAAGGTCAGCGAATAAAAAAATGATACATGAGGGGAATGTGGGTCTAAATTGGGTAGAAAGAAGAGTAATTAGATACACACAGGTTTTAGAAAAGAGTGGAAAAGGTGTGAGCATCTGATACAGTTCTCTTTGGAAATTTTATGACAACACAGTAAATTAGAACAAAAAGTGTGAATAAGTTAGCATAAACGAATACCAGTCCATGGACCACTGATGGGGAATAGGGAAGAATTCAAGTGCATGCTCTATTGTGCTGAGGCAAATACAGAAATGTCAGGCACTCAACAGATGTAAGCAGAAGGAGTTAGGAAGGCACACTGGTACCTGATGGGGCTATTTTGAGCTTGTAACTTTCTTGTGCTTTTATAGTTAACTGTATAATAGCTGTGTTTATTAAATCCTTATTGTGTGTGTTGTTTCTTGTTCTCACATTAATCCTAATCTTCCTCCCTAAAATGGAGAATAAAATATTCCCCAATTTACAGATGGGGAAACTGAAGCTTAAGAATCTTGCAAAACATCGCATAGGTAAGAAGGAGAGCTTAGTAAACCAAGGTGTCATCACCTGCAAAACCCATGCTCATTCCCTACACTGCACTCCTACTTTAAAAGTTGGCAATGTGATTAAAATTCTATGTGCATGCCCGCTTTCTCAGAATTTATTTACTTGAAATTAGAGGCACATATAAATTTTATGTAGAAATTTGTTTATCATAGTTTTACTGAAAATATATACATTTATAAATTCCTACCAATAAAAAGGAGAAAAGGTAAAATAAACTATGAAATATAGGTAAGATATATATTTATAAATCATGTTTTGCTATTATATGAGCTTTTGTATAAAATGTACCCAATGTAATGTTAAATTATAAAAGCTGTTTATATTTTGAAGCACTACATGGAGTATGATCTTAATTTTGTTTATTAAGAAAGTGCTATCCACTATAAACCTCTGAAAGATAAGCAGCAACATTTTAATGATACATATTCCTGAGTGGTATGGTTCTAGATTATTTGAATACTCTATAACTTACCATACATTTTAAAGGGTATAAATAAACAAAGACAAGTTAGATTTTGTTAAAAAGAAACAGTATGCTTTAAATGCAATTTTACTTTTATTATTAGATGAAAGCGAACATAAATAATATGGCTATAGAACACAGGAATTGAGATTCCCATATGTTATGCACTGAATTGTGTCCCTCCAAAATTCATATGTTGAAGCCATAGCCCCCATACTCAGAATGTGACTGCATTTGGAGATAGGACCTTTAAAGAGGTGATTAAGTTAAAATGAGGTCAGCAAAGTAGTCTTTATAAGAAGAGGAAATTTGGACACACAAGGAGACACCAGGGATATGTGTGCACAGAGGAAAGGCCACATGAGGACACAACAAAAAGGTAGTGATCTGCGAGCAAAAGAGAGACGCCTCAAAGGAGAATCCTCCTGCTCACAACTTGGTCTTGGACTTCTATCCTCTAGAAAATAAATTTTCATTGTTTCAGTCACCCAGTCTGTGATATTTTGTTATAGCAGCCCTAGCAAACTAATATATCATTCAAACTTTAAGTAACTGATTTTTCTAGCCTTAGTAACTTGCTAATTTTCTTGTTCAAAGTGCATTTTCATAGATTAGAAAAGTGAAACGCTTCTTAGTCCTTTAATAGTATAGAAATTTAGCACTAATTTTCAGCTTTGGTGCTGACAGATTATTTATGTGATCCAAATGAGATATATCAACAATATTTAATACAGTGCAAACATCTGGACTAGAATGATGTGAGACCTTATAGTAGGATAGTAAAACAGATATTTTAGTTAATACGAGTCAATCCTTGAAGGCTGATGTTTTTACTTACAGTAACTTTTTTGTTTTATGTTAATGCTTTTTAAATTAATCTTTTCTTTCTCTCTTCATTTCTTTCTTTCTTTCTCTCTCCTTCTTTTTCTCCTTCCTTGTTCTCTTCCACTTTTTCTTTTATTGAGATAAATACATAATTCAGTGTGATGTTTTCTAATACCTAAAACATTTATGTTTTTATACATACTGCTAAAATGAGGAATTTGGCTTTTGAAGCATTTTTATTACTCAAACTGTTTTTTCTTACCGCTAAGATAGTTGCAGGAATGGTTCTTTTTTTTTCCTATCTTCTTCTTATCCTCCTCTTACATACCAACAAATAAAAGGAGTTTATTTGTTTATTTTATTAGTTTATTTCTTGGTATGTTGGCATGATATTTTGGTAACGATCAGTTTGGACTTACAATTTGGGGGAGTGTTTATATTTAAGTATGCATTTATAATAAACATTGATTATTATTTTAATATGAAACCATGTCAAAAAATGAATATTCCCACATTATTGTTCAAATTGAATCAATATTTTATAGCAAAATAAAACAAGACAAAAACCAAACAATAGTATACACTCCAAATAAATTTCCCATATAATAGAAGAAAATGTCTAGCAGCTAGATAGGTAATAAACTTCTTAGAATGTTAGAATATTATTTTAATTCTCAAAAAGAAATTTACTATATTTGAGATTTTGGTATTTTATTTTGGCTTATGTTTTTATATATAGATATATACATTATAAACCTTATTATTTTATGTCTAAGGAAGTACTTTAAGAAAATATTGTGCAAAGAAATTAATTTTTTTACAAAGGTTAAACGTTTATGTGCTGGTGAGAAAAAAATTAAGTTGAATGAGAAGACAAGTAAAAAACTAAAAATATTTGTTAAATAATGATGAATAGGTTTAGTATGTGATTTAATAATTAAGATAGAAAAATTTGTTGCTATAGTTTTTGAGCAACTTAGGATTACGCATCAACAGTTTAAAATGTTAATAACCTTACATTTCTTAAAATAGAACTTTTGAAAATATTTCTAAGTAAGGCAGAAGGTGTGATTTTGGGGGATATTTGTGAAACCTGAAAACATTCATAAAATAAGAAGCTGGTTAAGTAAATAATGGTAATGCTGTTCAGCAAAAACTGAACAATTAAAAATGTCTGGACAAGCATTTAAGGGTATTGGGAAATGATCAAGACAAAAACTTGAAAAGAATATAGGTTGAAAGTTACAAATATATGTGTTGCTTCAGTTATGCCTCTTGGATAAGTAATGGATCAATAACTTCATCACTGCTTTAAATGTTTTCAATCACACATATATCTTACTCATTTAGCCATGTGAGTAAATACAGCCCCTGCACTGGAGAAATTACTTTGCTTCACTCCGAGCAACAAATATGTATTACCCTATTCTCACACTGCTATAAAGACATACCTGAGACTGCATAGTTTATAAAGAAAAGAGGTTTAATAGTGTGTCAAACAGCAAGGGGGAAGTCCACCCCCATGATCCAATTGCCTCCCACCAGGCCTCTCTTCCAACATTGAGGATTACAATTTAGCATGAGATTTGCATGGTAACACAGAGCCAAACCATATCATTCTGTCCTTGGCCCTTCCCAAATCTCATGTGTTCTTCTCACATTTCAAAATACAGTCATGCCTTCCCAACAGTCTCCCAAAGTCTTAACTAATTCCAGCATTAACTCAAAAGTCCAAGTCCAAAGTAACATCTGAAACAAGGCAAGCTCCTTCTGCCTATGAACCTCTAAAATAAAAAACAATTTAGTTACTCCCAACATACAGTGGGGATATAGCCAATGAATACATGCTCCCATTTCAAGAGGAAACAATTGGCCAAAACAAAGGGGCTACAGGTCCATGCAATTCTGAAACCCAGCAGGGCAGTCATTAAATCTCAATGCTCCAAAAAAATATCCTTTGACTCAATGTCTCATATTCAGGCCACAATAACACAAGGAGTGGGCTCCCAAGGCCTTGGGTAGCTCAGCCCCTGTGACTCTGTAAGGTACAGCCTCTCAGCTGCTTTCATGGGTTGGTGTTGATTGTCTGTGGCTTTTTCAGGCACTCACTGCAAGCTGTCAGTGGATCTACTAATCTGGGGTCTAGAGGATGATGGACCTCTTCTTACAGCTCCACTAGGCAGTGCCCCAGTAGGGACTCTGTGTGGGGGCTCCAACTCCCCATTTCCCCTCTGCACTGCTTTAGTAGAAGTTCTCCATGAGGGTTCTGCCCCTGCAGCAGACTTCTGTCTGGACATCCAGGCATTTCCATACATCCTCTAAAACCTAGGTGGAGGCTCCAAACCTCAACTCTTGCCCTCTGTGTACCTGCAGGCTTAAAACCCTATGGAAGCCACCAAGGCTTCCTGCTTTCGCCCCCTGGAGCAGTGGCCTGTGACTTCTCTGGGGCCCTTTTAGCCATGGTTGGAGCTGGAGCAGCTGGGACACAGGGAGCAGCATCACAAGGTTGCACAGGGCAGCAGGGCCCTGGGCACAGCCTACAAAACCATTCTTTCCTCCTAGGCCTCCAGGCCTTTAATGGGAGTGGCTTCTGCCAAGTCTCTGAAATGCCTTGGAAGCATTGTCCCCATTGTCTTGGCCATTATCATTTGGCTCCTTTTTATTCATGCAAATTTCTGCAGCCAGCTTGAATTCCTTCCCAGAAAATAGATTTTTCTTCTCTACCACATAATCAGGCTGCAAGTTTTCTAAAGTTTTATGCTCTGCTTCCCTTTTAAGTATAAGTTCCAGTTTCATATTATGTTTTGTGCACACATGTGACCATATGCTGTCAGAAGCAGCCAAGCCATATTTTGAGAGCTTTGCTGTTTAGAAATTTCTTCCACCAGATACCCTAAATTGTCACTCTCAAGTTTAAAGTTCTACAGATCTCCAGAGCATGGGCACAATGTAGCCAGTCTCTTTGCTAAAGCATGGCAAAAGTGACCTTGACTCTAGTTCTCGGTAAGTTTCTCATCTCCATCTGAGACCATGTCAGCCTAGACATCATTGTTCATATCATTATTAACATTTTGGTCACAACAATTTAGCAAGTCTCTAGGAAGTTCCAACGTTTTTCTCATCTTCTTGCCTTCATCTGAATTCTCCAAACTTACAGGAAAGGGGTCGTGATTCAGGCCCCAAAAGAGGGTTCCTTGATCTTACAAAAGAAAGAATTTCAGGTGAATTTGTAGAAAGTAAAGGAATAAAAGAATGGTTACTCCATAGGCAGAGCAGCCCTGAGGACTGCTGGTTGCCCATTTGTATGGTTCTTTCTTGATTATATGCTAAACAAGGGGTAGATACATAGATTGATTTAGATTAAAAGAGTCTTGATTTAAAAATAAAATAAAATAAAATAAAATAAAATAGCCATTCTTGTTATGTAGAAAACCATTACACTGCAGCAATATTTATCAAATACCAAGTGGACTTAGTTAATTCTATTCTTGTTGCCTTTATTTTCCATTTGTAATATAGGAATAACAAGACCTGTCAACATTTCTGAAATAATTAAATGAGTTAATATATATAAAGTACTTAGTATGGAACAAATGCAGAATAATATATTGACAGAGAGGCTGGAGAGTCTAAAGTGATATTTTCCCAATTATCTTTAAATTCTTCAGAATTCATTTTTCCTGATCATCTTCTCTGGTTCAAATCACTCTGCTGCCTGTTAATTACTCAGATTTAGAGCTGAAGTGAATTGGATTTATTGAGAAAGGTATGGAGAATTCCTAGTTTTGCCAGGATATTTTGCTAAGTAATTGCTGGAGAAATTTAGTAATACTGACCTTCTTTGGTCACCATGTGTAAATAATCCCAATTCAGGAGCATGAGCACCATGTGGGGACCATGTTATCTCCTTTAAGTGTGTGGTGTTGCAAAATAAAATACCTGTCAAGGCTACTGTGGAATGCAAACTTGGGAAAGTTGTTGCCAAAGTAATCCCATATGATAGAAGGAGAGTTGGGAAAATACTACTTCATAGAGTATGCCCTCATCATCTTTCCCCACTAAAAATATGTACCATCTATGAAACCACAAGTGTGATTTTTAATTTTTTTGAATAATAGGTTATATAGACTGAGGGCTACTGTAGAACCCAGGTAAATTATTCGTAGTATGAAACAGAGGGACATCCATTTATCTAGAGGTCTAGAAGCCAGAAGCTTTCGAAGAAAATACTAAAAATTGATAAATTAATCAGAACCTCAAGTGACAGGTACATTTGAGGAAATAATGGTTACAAGTGTGACAGTCCACAAAAGGACATTTCCAAGAACAGTTCTACAACAAACCTGCCAAAGTGCCAGTCGGGTGCTCCTCAGAAGATTCTCCAGCTCTGACCAGGTGGTCTGTACAAACTATATATGGTGGTACTTCCCTTTTACTTTCCCTCAGCCTTAGTCTTTTTAAACAACTTTAACTCATCATTGCTTATGTTGGTTACAGAAACGGGAACTGTTGGGATATATGTCCTGTTATAAAGAAGAGTAGCTAAATCCCATTCTTAGGGTATGGTAATGAAGGCTAGCTGACCACCACAGCGCTTCATATGTAATTCAGACTCTACACCAGAGCTCATCCTGGGAAGCTATTGAGAAGCCAGAGGGTCCACTTCTCAGTCACCTTGTATCTAGAGACACATGAATATTTCTGGCCAGTACTGTTGAGAAAATGTTTTCTATATTTAATGTGGCTTCCCCAACTCATACCTTTCTATGACAACAGCAGTGGGTTGGATGTGTGACCACATTTACTCAGAATGTGACCTTATTTGGATTAATGATCTTTGTCTACATAAGTAAGGTAAAGATCTCCAAATAAGATCACCCCGAATTAGGGTAGGCCCTAAATCCAATGATAAATCAATAATATAGCTTATTATAATAAGAGAAGAAGAGACAACACAGAGTCATACAGAGGGAAAGGGCCTGTGAAGGTGAAGGCAGAGATTGGAGGGTAGCCACAAGCCAAGGAACACAAGGATTGCCGGGGCAACTGGAAGCTAGGAGAAAAGCATGGAATGGATTCTTCAAATCAGCTCATCGATTTTGGATTCCTGGTCTCCAACAATATAAAAAGAATACATTTCTGCTATTTTAAGTTACCAAATTTGTGGTAATTTTTCATGGCAGAGAAAATCCAGGCTTACACAAGCCTAATAACACCAAAGATTGCCAGAAAACCACTAGAAGCTACAGGACAGCCATTGCAATTATAATTATTTAAATGTAGATGAGGTTATACTAGAGTAAGGTGGGCCCTTTATTCAATATGACTGGTGTCCTTATGAAAGGGGGAAATGTGGTCACCGAGACACACATGCAAGGATAATCCCAAGTGAAGAAGAAGGCATAGATCAAGATAATGCTTCTACAAGCCTAAGAACACCAAAGATTGCCCGAAAACCACTAGAAGCCACAGAAGAGGCATGGAACGGATTCTTTCCCACAGACTTCAGAAGAAAATAACCTTGCTGGCACCTTGATCTCAAACTTCTAGCCTCCAGAACCATGAGGCCATATATTTCTGTCCTATAAGCACCTCAGTTTGTGGTACTTTGTTACAGCAACCCTAGCAAACTAATACAGGAAGGTTATTAGTTCAAATAACAAAATCAGTTCAGAGGCAGGGTAGATTTCAACTAGGGTTTCATCAGAGTTCTACTAATTCTCCAAGGCATTCTCTCCTTCATGGGTCACCTTTTGCTCTGGATGGCTTTTCTCACGGTCCCAAAATGGTTGCAGGAGTTCCAGGGATCACATTCATTTCTTTGGTGTCCAGAAGAAGGGAGAGTATCTTTGTCCCAGCATTCTAAGTAAAATGTTTAAATTCAGTTTGGACTGGACTAGACTATTGCTAACTAACTGTGGGATTGATAATTAGAAGTGTTGAGTGGTCTAAGTGAATCCGGATGGACTTTTAGATTTGAAGGAAGATTAACATTCCTTGAAGCAAATGAGCAGCATAGTCAGGGGAGTATGCCTGAGCAAAAATAAGATACCATGAGAAAATAGGAGTGGGAAAATGAAGGCCAGCCAAGGGGCAAATGTATATACCTTTGGACCAAAGGCACATATTTTAACATTATTTTTGTCTTCCAGATATTTTCTATTTCTAACTTGTCAATTTTATCCTGATTTAATGTGTTCTTCAAAAATAAAATGCAGATTTCTTATAGTTGTTAATTTTATGTACATTTTTTAAGATTTTTGATAAATATTGAGAATTGAATAGTTTTTTTACTTTAAAAATGTATTTGTTAATGTGAGTATATTCAATTGTTACAATGGCAAAAGGTAACATTTAGTGGCAACACCATTTTAAACTCATGTATATATTATTTAACACATTGCTATTTTTTAAATGGCATTTAGAAAATTTTTGACTGGTTACCTATATTTACAAGGCAACACTCCATATTTTCCAAGAAATACATCATGTTTTCTACTGCTGAAAAAAGTCATCTACATTACCCTTATGGAAAGAAAAATTATAAGTGTATATTTAATGTCTTGATAAATAATTTTTATTTGGGAAAAGAAAACATTTAAAGGTCAATTTCATAGAACACTATTCTGAAAGTTGTTTGTTTATTTTTTTCAATCCCATTGACCTAGATGGATTTAAATGGCTTAAAAAGAACTTCTGATGAGGAGGGATGCCATCTAGTTTAGAAGTCTCAGAATTCCCACTTTAACTGAATGTACATTTTGCTGGGAAAACTTCATGAAGGAAGCATTTGGTAAGCAAGTTTAGAAAATAATGTCGGTGTATGATCTATAGTGAAATGTAATGAGAAAATGTTGTATTACTGTGATGTGATCAAAAATTGAAATGAAAACTGCAACAGTATTTATCTAGAATAATTACGTTCTAAAAAGCATCTGGACTTCAAAACAGTTTGCAGATTGATAAACTATGCAATTAACCAATATCCAATGTACTAGTGTAGCAAGTCAAGCAATCAGATGAGACTAGGTCAGAAATATGCTTAAATACTTTCCTATTTATGAGTTTTAGTGGATTTCCGAGATTAAATGGGAGCTTTTCCATTACTTGATGTATAAACACGTCATTACTTTATTTATTAATATTATTTTTAAAAAATTTATACTATATTTCTCTGACTCTTTCCATTCAGTAGAAAATTTTCTGTGAAATTTTTGAATTCATTTCTTCCTTATACCCTAATTTAATTAACAGCAAGTAATCTTGCGTAAGACCTCAAACCTTAAGTATGCCAATGTAAAGGATACTACAATATTTGGTTATGACATTTATTCCTGCACTGCTTCAGGACAGACAAACACTTATTCACAAAAAAATTACCATCCTAAATTCATAACGATCAATATAATGTGATAAGTTAATATTGTTGAAATAATTTTCAGTTTTCCTTTGTGCAGACTTTGCATTTATCTTTAGCATTCTTATATCTTACCTTTTTTAAAAAAACAAGTTCCTATTAGCTGCTGTTTATTATGCTAAATTCTAAGAGTGCAAAATAATGAGTAAGTCCTCATTATTTTCCTCAAGACAAATGGAGAGGAATGGGAAAAACAGATGGAAAAGAAAGAATTAAGCAAGGGTAACTATTTTGTAATGATAAAAAGGAGCCTGGAGTGACATGCAAAGGCGAGGCGGTTATTCTTGGAAGAGATGACCTGTGAGATGTATTTTGAGGAAAAAGTTAGAGTTCACAAGATTAATAAAAGATAAGCAGAAGAGAATGGGACTTGGGAGGCAGAAGGGTACCCAAGGGGAGGAAATAATGAGAAACGTCATGTGTGGAATTAACATTATAAAATTACTTTTCAAAAGCTAACTTTCTTGAGGGTTTTCCTTGAGGCACACACTAAGCTCTTTAGATACATCATTTCCTAACAACCCTGAGAAGCAAGTACAACGACTTTCATTGCATTATGTGTGAGGGATAAAAATGGCTCAGTAGTGGGTTGAATGTTTAGTGTAAGGCATAGGGTAATATTATGAAGCCAGAGCTAGACAGGGAACAGTTTAAAGTAGAGTTAGAAATTTGTGTTAGCATTTTTGTTTGCAGGTGATGAAACACATCTGCAGAGTCTTCTGCAAAGGGGTGGTATGATTCCTGACTCTTGAAATAGGTTACTCTGGCCACTCAATAAAGGATGGGTCCAAGGGGCACACAATGAAGGTACAGAAACATGCTTGGAAGTTAAACTGCAAAGGCAAGGAATTCTGGGAACTAGAACCTGGAAGAGTGACAGCAGGGCAGAGAAGATTCATTTTTATTTCTATTTGGAAGTTTGAGAAGGATCCCCTTCTTCCACAGATCCAGCATTCAATTTACACAGACATATTTGAAATAAGGAATTGTCTTAAAACAAAAACTTAAGACATTGAAAAAACCAGCAATTTTATATAGAAACAATTAACAATTTTAAAAACTGATATTTCTCTCTCCAATCCTGAAAGAAATCAAATACTGAATTGCAGATACTCTACAATGCACCCAGCTTTTCTGTCATACATCTAATTTTATGGAGAAAATGTTAGACATTAGATTTAGAGTGTGAGTTGTTAATATGCCTGGGTGTTTAAAGGTATTTTATCCACTATTAGGTTTGGTGTCTCCATCCAGAAAAAAACTGAGAAAAAAACAGAGAAAGCTAAGTGCTCAGCAGCAAAAGAAATAGTCTTTTTTGTTGTGTCTCTGCCAGCTTGAGTATCAGGATGATGCTGGCCTTGTAGAATGAGTTGGGGAGGAGTTCCTCCTACTCGATTTTTTGAAATAGTTTCAGTAGGAATGGTACCAGCTTTTTGTACATCTGCTAGAATTTGGCTGTGAATCTGTCCAGGGCTTTTTTTTTTTTTTTTTTTTTGGTAGGTAGGATACTTATTACTGATTCAATTTTGGAGCTCATTATTGTTCTGTTCAGGCCAATATCCTTGAAGAACACTGACGCAAAAATCCTCAACAGAATACTCGCAAACCAAATCCAACAACACATCCAAAAGTTAATCCAGCATGATCAAGTAGGCTTTATTCCTGGGATGCAAGGATGGTTCAACATATGCAAATTAATAAATGTGATTCATCACATAAACATAACTAAAGACAAAAACCACATGATTATCTCAATAGATACAGAGAAGGCTTTTGATAAAATTCAACATTCCTTCATGTTAAAAACTCTCAATAAACCAGGTATTGAAGGAACATACCTCAAAATAATAAGAGCCATCTATGACAAATTCACAGACAGCATTATACTGAATTGGCAAAAGCTAAAAGCATTCCCCCTGAAAACCAGCACAATACAAAGAGGTACTCTCCAAGTACCCCTATTCAACATAGTACTGCAAGTCCTAGCCAGAGCACTCAGGCAAAGGAAGGACATAAAGGACATCCAAAAAGGAAGAGAGAAGGTCAAACTATCCCTGTTTGTAGATGACATAAATCTATATCTGGAAAACCTTATAGTGTCATCATGAAAGCTTCTTCAGGCTAATCAACCACTTCAGCAAAATTTCAGGATACAAAATCAATGTACAAATATTACTAGCATTCCTATACACCAAAAAGAGCCAAGCTGAGAGCCAAATCAGGAACACACATCCATTCACAACTGTCACAAAGAAAAAATAAAATACCTAGTAATACAGCTAACAATGGAGGTAAAAAATCTCTATAATGAGAATTATAAAACAATCCTTTAAGAAATCAGAGATGACACAAACAAATAGAAAAACATTCCATGCACATGGATAGGAAGAATCAATATCGTTAAAATGGCCACACTGCCCAAAGCAATTTACAGATTCAATGTTATTTCTATCAAACTACCAATAACATTCTTCACAGACCAAGAAAAAACTATTTTAAAATTCATATGAAACCAAGAAGGAGCCCGAATAGCCAAGGCAATCCTAAGCAGAAAGAGCAAAGCTAGAGGCATCACGCTACTGATTTTGAACTATAATACAGGGCTGCAATAAACAAAACAGCATGGTACCAGTACAGAAACAGACACATAGACCAATGGAACAGAATACAGAGCCTAGAAATAAGGCTGCACACCTACATCAATTGATTTTTGATGAAGCTGACGAAAAAAAAAAAAGCAATGAGGAAAGGGCACCCTATGCAAAAAATCGTACTGGGATAACTGGATAACTATATGCAGAAGATTGAAATTGGACCCCTTATTTACACCATACACAAAATTATCTCAAGATGCATTAAAGACTTAAATATAAAATGTAAAACCGAAAACTGTAAAAACCCTGGAAGATAACCTAGGCAACAACATTCTGGACATAGAAACTAGCAAATATATCATGATGAAGATGCCAAAAGCAATTTCAACAAAAGCAAAAATTGACAAACTGAATCTAATTTAACTAAAAACTTTCACATAGCAAAATAAACTATCAATAGAGTAAACAGGCAACCTACAGAATGGGAGAAAATATTTGCAAACTATGCAGCTGACAAAGGGCTAATATCCAGCATCTATAAGGAGCTGAAAGAAATTTACAAGGAAAAAGCAATTCCTTAAAAAGTGGGCAAAGTACATGAACAGAAACTTTTCAAAAGAAGACATATATGTGGCCAATAAGCACTTGAAAAAAAAGAAAAGCTCAATATTGCTGATAATTAGCGCAATGCAAATCAAAACCAGGATGAGATAACATCTCACACCATTCAGAATGGCTATTACTAAAAAGTCTAAATTGTAATAGGTACTGGCTAAGTTGTGGAGAAAAAAGAACACTTATACATTGGTGAGAATGTAAATTTGTTCAACTATTGTGGAAGCAGTGTGGCAATTCGTTAAAGAGTGCAAAACAGAACTACCATTTCATCCAGAAATCCCATTACTGGGTAGATACCCAAAGAAATATAATTTTTTTCTATCATAAGACAAATGCACACCTATGTTCTTTGCAGCACTATTTACATTGGCAAAGACATGGAATCAACCAACATGCCCATCAATGGAAGACTGGTTAAAGAAAATGTGGAACATATACACCATGAAATACTATGCATCCATAAAAAAGAACAAGATCATGTCCTTTGCAGGGACATGGATGGAGCTGGAGGCCATTATCTGTAGCAAACTAACTCAGAAACAGAAAACCAAATACTGCATGTTCTCACTTATAAATGGGAGCTAAATGATGAAAACATATGCACACAATGAGGGGAACAACAGACATTGGGGCACGCCAGAGAGTGGGGGTTGAAAGGAGGGAGAGGAGCAGAAAAAATAACTACTGGGTACTAGGCTTAGTACCTGGGTGGTAAAATAATCTGTACATCAAACCCCCAGGACATGAGTTTACCTATATAAAAAACCTACACATGTAGCCTTGAACATAAACTTTTTTAAAAAAAGAAATAATTTCTAATTGTTCTATTTCAATATCTCAGTAGTTTCTTAGAAGCTATTGTGAAGTCTGTGCTGCTTTGTCATACAAATGACCCTTACTTTAGCCCAGCAATTTCTAAAGAATAAACGTTTTATGTGTGATTTGCTTTTCTATTGTAAAATAATTATATTTAATGCTGCATGGTATAGTATTTTAATTATGTAATAAAGGAAATACAATATTAAAAAGTCAAAGAATAACAGTGTCACACGCGTCTGTGTAAAGAGAACACCAAAAAGGCTTTGTGTGAGCAATAAAGCTTTTTAATCACCTGCGTGCAGGCGGGCTGAGTCCGAAAAAGGAGTCAGCAAAAGGAGATGGAGTGCGGCAGTTTTAGAGGATTTGGGTAGGTAGTGGAAAATTACAGTCAAAGGGGTTTGTCCGTTGGTGGGCAGGGGAGGTGGGTTCACAAGGTGCTCAGTGGGGGAGCTTCTGAGATTCATTGTCCAGGAGAAGGAATTTCACCAGGTAATATCATCAGTTAAGGCAAGAACTGCCCATTTTCACTTCTTCTGTGGTTCTTCAGTTGCCTCAGGCCATCTGAATGTACATGTGCAGGCTTGGGCTCAGAGACCTCACAAACAGGTGCTGGCGAGGTTGAGAAACACATGAATTAAAAGGTACTTTCATAGAAGGAGTTGTGAAGTCTGCCACTAATGCAAATCTGAAGTTATTTGTGAGAACAAGGCAGGCAGGAGGAAAAGTATTTGCATGGTAAATGGAGCTGAAAGACTCAAGGACAGTGCTGATTCTGTCACTAGAGGATGCTGTGAAACTAGGGGAAAAATAATAGTTTCTCACCAAGATTTTAAGAGAGATGAAATGTAAGCTATGGATAAATGTTTTCAAATATGCTTCCACAAAAAAATGACCCATTTACATTCTCACCATTGTCTGAGAATTACCATTTAACTGTACCAATTATAAATGTACCTGAACACGTTTCCTTGCTTTGAAGTTTGTCCTGAGTGAAATTAAAATATCTACTATAGCTTTCTTTTGATTATTATTAGCATAGTTTATTACTCTCTATCCATTTACTTTTGATCCATATGTGTCTTTATATTTAAAGTGGGTTTCTTCTAGGCAACATATAATTGGGTCTTGTTTTTGGACATTGGACATCTCTGAAAATCTGTTTATTGATATGTTTAGACCATTGACATTCAAAGTGATTATTGATATAGAATTAATAGCTATCATATTTGTTTCTGTTTCCTATTTGTTTCCCTTGTTCTTTCTTCCTGTTTTTGTCTTTCACTGTTTTTATGCTTGTTGTGATTTTAATACAGGATTTTACATGATTCAATTTTCTCTTCTTTTTTACTATAGCAATTTTACTACTTCTTTACTTTTTTTACTGTTTGTCCTAATGTTTACAATATACATTTACAACAAATCGCAGTCCACTTTCAACTAACACTATACCATAGTTCAAAGGTTGTTCAAATACCTTATAATGACAAAATAATTCCAATCCCTACCATCCCTACCATGGTCAGCAAATCTAATACATTTTTGCTATTAATTTTTGAATGAACTATTACCTGTTATATCAATTAAGAATAAGAAAGATAAAAATTGTTATTTTACATCCACTTATTTATTCTCTGATGTTCTTCCTTTCCTTATGTAGAGCTGAGTTTCTGACCTATATAATTTTCTTTAACTCGAAAAAACTTCTTTTAACTTTTTGTACAAAGCAGGTCTACTGGTGAGAAATTCACTCATGTTTTGGCTGTCTTTGAAAGTCTGTATTTCTTCTTTACTTTTGAAAAACAATTTTTCAGGGTACAGAATTCTAGGTCAGTGGTTTTATTTTCTCCAAATGTTTTAAATATTTCACTCCACTGTCTTCTTGCATGCATGGTTTTTGAGAAGTTGGATATCATTCTAATTTTTGCTCCCCTGTAGTTAAGGTGTTTCCCCTCCGCCCACCACCACACCCATCCCCAGCTTCTTTCAGGACTTTTTCTTCATCTTTAATTTTCTGTAGTTTGCAAATGACGTTCCCAGATGTAGTTTTTCTGCTATTTGTCTTGAGTGGTGTTCTCTGAGCTCGGTGTCTGATATTCATTTGGAGATAATGCTCAGTCATTACTGTTTTAAATATCCTTCCTGTTTCTTTCTCCCTTTATTCTCCTTCTATATTCCTATTTTGTGTATGTTATACCTTTTATCATTGTCCCACATTTCTTGAATATTTGGCTCTGTATTTTTTTCTGTTTTTTTTTTTTAGTCTTTTATTTATTTTCTCTTCAGTTTTGGAGGTTTCTATTGAGGTATCTTCAAGCTCAGATATTAGTTTCTCAGCTACATCCAGTCTAATAAGAAAGCTCCTAAAATAAATTTTTCATTTCTTTCAGTATTTTTTATCTCTAACATTTCTCTTTGGTTCTTTCTTAGAAATTCATCTCTCTGCTCACTTTGTCTATCTGTTTTTACATGCTATTGACATTATCCATTACCGACCTTAGCATATTAATCATAGTTGTTTTCAATTTCTTGTCTGATAATTCCGGCATCCCTGCCATATCTGAATCTAGTTTTGAAGGTTGCTCTGTTTCTTCAAACTGTGTTTCTTGCCTTTTAGTATATGTCTTTGTCCATTTTGTGTTGATAAAAAGAACCTGAGAGTGGCTAATTTGTGAAGAAAAGATGTTTATTTGGCTCATGATTCCGCAGGCTGTACCAGTAGCACAGCACCAGCATCTACTTGTGGTGAGGGCATAAGGCTGCTGCCACTCATGAAAGGAGGCAAAAAGGTCCCGGTGTGTACAGAGATCACATGGCATAAGGTAAAGCCAAAAAGAAAGGGAAGAGGTGCTAGGATTTTTAACAACCAGCTCTCATAGGAACTAATAGAGTATATTCATTCACCCCCAAGGGAGGGCATTAATCTATTCGTAAGGGATCCAGCCCCATGACCCAGATGTTGTCCATTAGGCCCCACATTTCAAAACTACCACATGGGGGTTTAAATGTCAACATGAAATTTGGTGAGGACAGATACCCAAACTATAGCAGTATGTCTTGTAACTTTTTCTTTAGCCAGACACGCTGTACTAGGCAAATAAACTGTTCTAAATAAGCTTTTAGTAATTAGTAATGTGGTGATAGGTTGTGGGGGAAGGGGAAATGTCCTATTGTCTTACAGGTGAGTTTCAGTCTTTCAGTGAGCCTGTAGCTCTGGACTGTGAATTTCACACTTGCTTCTCAGGACTCCTCCCCTGCTTTGGTTGGATTGTATGCCTAGAGCTGGCTAGAGCTGGATGTTTCCCATCCCCTAGGAAGGTTATGCTCTGATAAAACCCCAGCAGGTTAGGCTCATGAAACAGTTGCTCCTGAAGGCAGACCTAGTTAAAAAGAACAAAATGGTCTGTTGTATTTTAAAATGGTCCCTTTACCCCTCCTTTTGCTGGAAGCATAAGGGAATTTTTCTCTCATATCCATTGTGAGAACATGGTCTAGCTCCTAGAGGTAAAATTTGCACAAGCATGGAGGCCCTTCTATGACCGTTTACCCTGCAATCTTTATCTCTCAGACTTGTCCACACTGAGCCTCTTGCAATTCAATTACAGTTCAATTTTTTCTACCTCAGCCTTGGTTCCTACAAAGGTTGCTGCTTGTGAATTTTTGCTCTGGTAAATTGTGATTCTCTGTACTGTTTGTCTGTCCCTTCAATGTTGTGGACAGCAGTTTGCTCTGTGACTTCACAATATCCACAAAATATCCATACAAAATGTGGATATTTTAGTTTGTTCTGCTTTTTGCTTGTTGTTAGGATGGAGTGGCAACTTCCTAGATTTTTACATGTCAGACAGGATACGGGAAAGCTTAAAGCTATTTTAAAATCTCAAAACCATGTCATCATCATTTCTATTATATTTTATATGTCCCAATGTTTATAATATTGCTAACTTTGGTACCTTACTGTGATTTTTAAATACTTACAGACCCAAAATATGTACAATAAATTCTCAAGCTGAAAGTGATTACTGGTTCTGCATCATCAACCAATTGATATTTTTGTTGGATCATTAGACCTAGTTGATTCCCCAAAGGCAATTTCAACCAGTTTGGTGTAATTTGTTACATCAACCATTGATATAACAGAGTTTATGCATGAAAACAAAGCTGTTACTTCAAGCTTGGTCTGTTTTTTCATATAAATTCTGTTTTTAACTTAATTTTTCGTTACAAACTATGCACACTCTGATTTTTCTTAGTATTATATAATTCAATGTGTCATCTGTTCTGAAAGATTATTAAAAAGATAAGGTGTTAATCTGTATCTAATTCCAATTAATAATTCCTACAAAAGTTTTCTCATACCAGTGAAACATAGATTCTACATGGTAAAATCCTCTCTTTAGAACATGTAGGTGATTCATCTACCTGCAACACAGTGTTGAACTTTCTTGCTGCTCATATATTGCAAATGACTTTGGAGCTGGATTTTCCCTCCTATTCTTGGTATGATCATGAACACTTCTGGGATTATTTGCATAAGCAACAACCCCTTCCACCGAATTCCCATCCAACATTCTCTACTAACTCTGTTAGAAGCAAATATATCTAAGTAGTTTATAAACAAACATACACTTAATAAAAAAAACTTTATGCATAAACATTAACACTTCCCTACTTTTATATTGTAATTAATATAGTATACCTTATGTTAATTTTTCACTTTCAGATTTTATGAAATCATGACCTTCTGAGAACTGGATTTATTTTTATTTGTATTAATTATGAGTTGTTTATGTCATTATTAATTTTAAATTGTAACAATTTAGACAGTGTAAGTTCTTTTAATGTAGTTCTTTTGTGAGGTTTTTTGGTTAATATTACTGAACCCATTCCAGACATGTTTGACAGAATCAGCATCCTAGCAATGATAATATGTTCTGAGTCCCTGTTAAAGTTTTTCCTTCACCAATCACCTTCCAAGGAGGATAGCCATTTTTTCAATAGAGAACCCACTGGAAAGCAAAATCTCAGGAAAAAAAAATAGTATCAGTGTTGAAAAAAAATTGCTGTGCTTATCTGGCATTTTCATTGGTATTTCCAGTTTAATATATTGGAGATTTAACTATTTTGTCAGATGCAATTTTCTTAGTCACTAAGACATTCTATGATGTTTAAAAGCTGAAGTGAGTGTATCATGGAGAATCAGTATACTGATTTTGGGCCTGAGGTTCTTCTTTAACTTGCTTTGTATTGCTTACTGGATAAATATGCTCCAATTCCAAGAGTCATTAATCATAACTAAGAGGAAGATAAACAATTGCTTACTGAACTTGTCTCATTGAGGGAGGCAAGAGGTCATTAGGATAATATAGTAGGATTAGAGGGACATGAACCAATGGTAGTGAGAACATTGATAAGGGGCAGGGCCTTGACTAAGTAGCTAGATAAATGGATCATGCATTATGTGATCTCTACTCAGCATAATCAGTCTGTAAAAGTTCCTATTCCTGTGGTTTGGATTTCCTAACATACTTGGTTCACTTTCTTTTATTCATATAGGCAAAGAAAACAATTCTTTTCTAAGCTGAAATAGGTATTTTCAAAGAGGACTCCACAGAATGTTAATACTAATTCTGTAGGATTAATAATAAAAAAGAGAAACAGTGTCTCATTCCTAAATAGTTCTGCTATATTGAGTTTAAAGTTAGCTTATTTCTTAATTGCAGAATTGCTCAGAGCCTTTAGTATCCTTATGTAGACAGTAAGACACACAGTATTTAATATAATATTTGACCATTCAAACCTCTTTTTAAGAAACACTGAAAATTTTGAATATATCACTTGGATAATACTTACCTAGAGGAATCATCGAGAATATAAACAATGTTTAAAGTCTGGTTTAGAATAAAATATATAAATAATTGTTAGACTATTTATCCATGAAAAATAAGTGTACTTTCACACATAATTATTAACAAGCAGAAAAAAAAATTAACCAAATGAGTTTGTAATTAGTCATATGATGCATTGGCATTGGATATTTGCCTTTACCTTTGAGGAGGGAAATTTGAGGCAAATATGTGGTATATGTAGATAAACTTGAGACAGTGGCCAATTATTTTTGGGTATTTGGATGAAGAATAGCCCTGAAAAGCTTTTACATACATTGGTTCATTTTACTCAGTTTATTTTTACTTTAAAAAGAGTCACTGAGTTTTCTTTACTAAACTGATTTACATGAGACTGGCAAACCTCTTAGTCTCCTATGGCTTTGCTCACCTTTGAAAATGAACAGTCAGTAATTCAGTAATTTTTAGAGAATTAGTTGGGTTCTTATTGGTGATTAGTGCATAAAAGCTCTTCATTATGATGCATGGATAGGCCTTCAATAAAGTTGATAAAATTGGATAGAATGAGACAGGTTATGGGGTGTGATTGCTGCTACTTTTATATATACAGAACTGTGGAATTCCTTACTCACTTTTATTAATCTTTTACTTTGGGCTGATTGTGGATAGAATTTCAAAGTATTAATAACTAATTGAATTTTTTTTTTTTTGCTAATGTGCTGTGTTACTTCATCAACCTCAGAATGTTCCTTCTCAACCTATTCACAGATCTATGATAGGCCTTAAACATAATAAATTCTTTATATTCCTAATGAAAACTCTCAATTCTTTCAGTTAGGAGTCATAGGGAAAAAAAAGTGTTTTAACCTTTTTCTTTCATTGTTGGAAGAATACATGGTAGTTTGAAGGATTAAATTCAAAGGTTGATTTCTAGGGATGAATATTTGGACACTTGTTTCCAAAAGTGTTCAAAAGATGCCATGAACTATGAATGTGTGATTTCCTAACATGTAAATGTGCCTTCCCAAGACTTGAATATTTTACATTTTGGTAATGTAAAAGGGATGAATTTCTTAAAAAACAAAAAAACACAGGGTCTCACTTTGTTGCCCAAACTAGAGTGTAGTGGTGTAATCATAGCTCACTGCAGCCTCAAACTCTTGGGCTCAAGGGAGCCTCCCACCTCAGCCTCCTGAGTAGCTGAGACTACAGGTGCATGCCACCACACCCAGATAATTTTTAAAATATTTTGTAGAGATAGGGTCTCGCTTTGTTGCGCAGGCTGGTCTCAAACTCCTGGATGCAAACAATACTACCACCTCAGCCTCGCAAAGTGCTGGAACAATAGGCATGAGCCACCATGCCTGGCTGAATTTCAAGTCAGTCTCTATTATGTTTGTGTTTACATAATGCTTGCCAAGTTCTGTAGGATACTGTACTTTTGGGAAACATAGAAAATATTGTGTAAGAAATTATCTATATCTTCAAACAATTTACATTATTTTTAGCAATATAATGTCCATATCTGAAATAATTACTTATAACCAGCATAATTCAGTATCTTTACATGTGCTCTAGGAATAAAGTTGCAAGCTCTGTGCCAACAGAATATACCAATTATATCTCCTGTATTTGGATATTTGTTTTTGAATATTAGGTGTTCTCACATTCTACCTAATCAGTACTTTACTATATGTTCTCATTCATGGATCATTACTCTCAAAGACATAAAACAAAAACAGGATAAGAACTTCCTTTTGCATCCAGCTGTAATGGTTCATTGCTTCCTTAAAAAGAGTTTTTCTGACAAGCAAAGAAATAATGTGCCCTTGTAGTATTCTGAGAAGGGTAGCTTTTAAAATATTCAGTGTTAATTCTTGGTGTTAGAAAACTGAGGCTGGAAACAGTGGCTCACACTTGTAATCCCAGCACTTTGGGAGGCCAAGGCTGGCAGATCATCTGAGGTCAGGAGTTCGAGACCAGCCTGCCCAACATGGCAAAACCTTGTCTCTACTAAAAACATAAAAATTAACTGGGTGTTGTGGCACATGCCTGTAATCCCAGCTACTCAGGAGGCTGAGGCAGGAGAATCTCTTGAACCTGGGAGGAAGTTACAGTGAGCCTAGATTGTGCCACTGCACTCGAGCCTAGGTGACAGAGCAAGACTCCATCTCAAAAAAAAAAGGAAAACAGGGAAACAGGGCAGTGAGGGCATAACATATATATATATATGTGTGTATATATGTATATATATGTGTATGTGTGTGTGTATATATATGTGTGTGTGTATATATATATATATATATATATATATATATATATATATATTAGTCTAGCCAAACTACAGTAGTCAAATGTCTCATAAGCTTGAAAATAGGAATAAATGTTGTACTTACCAACTGGGACTCTTGTAGAATTAAGCAGAGAAAAGATAATCTATACATGCTAACTTCTGACCAACACAATATCTGGATAAAGCTTTCCTCCTTTCAGTGTGAAGGCACAAACAAATAAAAAGACTACTGATGGGCTTCTGGAAAAAAAAACACAGGACTTACGGTTCAGCATAGCTGATAAAATAACTGCACATATCTTCTCTTTTTACCAAAATATTAAAATGGCAGCAAAAGAATAAAAAGGCACAAGCACATCAATCAAAGAGAGGAACACTACTAGGCAGTCTACTCCCAAATTTGGACTCTGACCCACAGAAACTGAGACAATGTTTGCTGCTTTAAGCTACTAAGGTTTGGAATAATTTGTTAGGCAGTAGTAGACAACCAGAGATCACTAAACTTTTGAGAAAAGCAACTAACATGATAAAGAGAGGTACAAAATGCAAATAGAAAGGAGGAACACTGAGAAAATAGAAATAATCTAGCAGTAAAAATGCAAATGACATGAATAATATTATCAGAGATATAAAAAAAATTCTAAACTCATATGCCAGGCAAGTTGAATCACCTACCCTCTATTTAGATAGAAAAAGAAAGCTATTAACAAGCAATATTCAGAAAATTAAAAGAGGCCTTCAAAAACAAACAAACAAACAAAAATAAGATAGAGAAAAAACAAGCAAAAAAAAAGCTGTAGGATAAAGTTGAAGAAATACCCCAGAGATCTAGGACCCATAAATTAAAAATAGGAGGAGAAAAACATGGAACATTTAATGTAAGAGTTCCAACTAAAGGACATTTATAAGAGAAAATGAAAGAGAGAAATCATCAATAAAATATCACAAGAAATTTTCCCAGAACTGTAAAATGCTGGATAATCAGCACTAATTCTTTGTGTTTTCTAATTGGAAAAAAGGAAAAAGAGGCTGAGAAAGAGGAAAACATGAAAGCTCCACAGCAAAGAATATCATCATAGAATTTCAGAACTCTGGTGCCAAAAAATTAAAAGTATAAAATGTTCAATAGGAAGAAAATCGGTCTCACATAAAGCAGTGATGCAGTGTTGTGTATGGTATCAATCTTTTACATAGCAACCCTGGAGCTATGGAACAATAGACTAATGCCTGGACTATCAATTAATTGTAAGAGTAGAATAACATTTGGCCTGCCAACTATCTTTCTCAAGATGTTTTTAATCAACAAAGTGAAATGCAAGGGAAGCAGGAAATAGGGTTCAACCATAAGAGAGAAATAAAAGGAATGGCCAGGTCATAGGAAAAGGATTAAGAATGACAGCCATTTTTTTTGTTCTGTTTTGTTTTTTGTTTTTTTTTTTTCAAGATGGCAAATTAGAAGCTTTTAGCATGTGCCTCGGCCACTTGGAAACAGCAAGATAGTGCGTGAAGATCAGCTCTGTGAGCTTTAATTCAAAAACAGGAATCCACTGGAATTGTGAAGGACACACGACATCACAGGGAGGAGAGTGTGGGCAAACAGCCCCTGTGATGGCATCCAGCCGATAAAAATAAGTGAAGCTCCAGTATGTGAAAGAGTCAGGGAGCCTCCCTCTGTGATTCACCTTTCCACTGCGGATCCAAGACACTGAGGCTAAGGGACGGCATTTTATTTCTCCAAATCCCTGTAGCTTGGGAGAGGTTTGAAGATGCTGTGACTGAAAGGCACTGGGAAAAGCTTTAGGCATTTTCCCAGGTGCAGAACTGACAGCAGGAAGCTGTTTTTAACCTGGGAGCATGCAAAGTCAGCTATTCCTAGGCGACCTGGCAATGTGGATGTTCAGACATTTTTGTCTTGGGCCAGTGATTGGAGCTATTGGCTCTGGAGCAGGGTAGAAGTCTTCACAGCTAGAACTGAGGAAAGCACCTCAGCAGCAGGCCTGGGGTGGAAGAAATGCTGCTACAGAACCAGTTTCACCTGGGTGATGGGAGTTGCAGCCAAGTCAGCTTGGCAATCTAAAGCCAGTATGCCTGTGTTATTGCTGAGTGCCCTAGCCTGCTCCCCTGAGGTCATGGTGTAGCAGGGCCCTCTCTGCTTCACCCACAGGTAAAAATTCAGACATTTGGATCACCCACTTGCCTGGACCAGCAGTCTAAGCCACCCTACCCTGCATGGACGTAGATCGTGATGCAGCAGATCCTCCTATGCTCCACACCCAGGCAGATCACCAAGTTTTTGAAGCACCCCATTGCCTGGATCAGCACCTGAGCCAACCCACCCATTATGGACATAGATTGTGGTGTAGCATGTCCCTCTCCACTCCACATCCAGGCAGATTCACCAGATTTTTGGAACACCCCCTTGCCTGGATCAGTAGCCTAAGCCACCTCACCCTTCCTATTCAGAGATCCTCATTTAATGGGGCCCTCTTCACTTCCCACACAGGCAGATCTCCAGGCATTTAGAGCACTGATTTGCATGGACTAGCAGCCTGAGTTGCCACCCATCCCTGCCTATGCAGAGATCCTGGTGCAGGGGTTTCTCTCTGCTCAATGCCGGAGCAGATCTCCCAGCATTTGGCACCTGCTCTCCTGGATTAGAAGTTTAGGCTGCCCATATCCTCATGTAGAGAACTTCGGGCCAAGGAGATTTCCCATCTTCATGTCCAGGCACACTTCTGGGTCTTTGATGGCTGCCCACTAGATTCTTCCTGGTGCTGGTGCTTGTGTCTGCCACTGGGGGATCTGTAGGCAAACCTGCACAGTCCAGTCCCACTCATGTGGCCCTCTTGGGGCTGACCATGAGCTCAAACTACTGTGTACTCCATAAATCAGCCAATTGCCTGAGGCAACAGAGAGTCTCTCTCAGTAAACAAAGATCAAGTGTATACCCATCCTCTTTGCCTGAAGGTGGCTTTTACCCAAAGATGCCATCTACTGGTTTGTAGTTCAAACTGCACAGCCGAATTTAAAACCTACTAAAGGAAGTGCATAGGGCTATGAAAGCAAAGGTAAAAGGCCCTACCCAACATTCTCTATAGTCACAAATCCTATGGAAAGGGGGAAAGAGGAAGGGAAAGAAAACAATACTATAGAGAAAGAAAAAGAAACATTCCTACTGACATGAAAATAATTTCAAAAAATAGAAGTGCCAGCATTTCCAGATAAGAAGGAACCAGTGTAAACAGTCTGCCACCATGAAAAATATGAATGCAGTGACATCACCAAAATAACACACTAGCTCTCCAGCAATAATTCCTAACCAAAATGGAAATGCAGAAATGATTTTGGTTAGGAAATAGTTCCTAACCAAAATGGAAATGCAGGTCCAGATAAAGAACTCAAAGCAGGGATTTCAGGGAAGCTCAATGACATCCAGTACAAGGTTGAGAATCAACACTATGAAACTTCTAAATCTATCCAGGAAATGAAGGATGAGATTAACATTAAAAAAAAAAATCAAGTATAGCTTCTAGAATAGAAAAACTCATTTAAGGAATTTTAAAATATAATTGAAAGCTTTATCAACATACTGGATCAAGAAGAGAAATAATTTCAGATCTTGAAGACCAGTTTTTCAAACTAACCCAGTCACACAAAAATAAAGAAAAAATATTTAAATATATCCCATATTTAAAGAAATATGGGATTATGCAAAGTGACCAAACCTACAAATTATTGGCATTCTTCAGAAAGAAAAAAAGTTAAAAAAAAAAACCTGAAAAATATATTTGTGAGAATAATTCAAAAATATTTCCCTAATCTTGCTACAGAGATAGACATACAGATACAAGAAATCCAGAGAGCAACAGTGAGATACTATATAAAATGAACATCACCAAAGTATATAGTTACCAGACTTTCCAAGGTCCACACTGAAGAAAAAAACCTTAAAGGCAGGTAGAGAAAAAATTCATATCTGTACCAAGGGAACCCCATCAGGCTAACAGAGAACTTCTCAGGAGAAACTTTACTGGCCAGGAGAAATTGGGGCCTATTTCCAGCATTTTTAAAGAAAATAAATCCCAACCGAGAATTTCATATCCCATCAAACTAAGCTTCATAAGTGAAGGAGAGGCCAGGCACAGTGGCTCATGCCTGTAATCCCAACACTTTTAGAAGCCAAGGCCAGCAGATTGTTTGAGCTCAGAAGTTCAAGACCAGCCTGGGTAACATGGTGAAACCCCATCTCTACTAAAAATACAAAAATTAGCCAGGCATTGTGGCACAGATCTGTAATCTCAGCTACTCAGGTGGCTGAGGCAAGAGAATCACTTGTACCCAGTAGGTAAGGCTGCAGTGAGCCAAGATCATGCCACTTCACTCCAGCCTGAGTGACAGAGCTCACTCTAGAGACCCTGTCTCCAAAAAAAAAAAAAAAAAAAAAAAAAAGGGAAAAGAAAAAAGAAAAAAATAAGTGAAGGAGAAATGAAATATTTTCCAGGCGTGAACATGCTAATGGAATTTGCCATCACTTGACCAGCCTTACAAGAGATCCTAAAGGGAGTTCTCCCCATGGAAACAAAATAGAGATACCTGCTACCATAGAAACACACTTAAGTGCATATCCCACAGACCCTATGAAGCAACAACACAATAGAAACTATGAAGCAACCAGCAAACAACCTCATTATAGGATTATAACCTCACATATACATATTAACCTTGAACGTACATAATCTAAATACCCCACTTAAAAGTCACAGAGTTGCATGTTGGATTAAAAAACAAGACCAGGGCTGGGTGCAGTGGCTCACACCTGTATTCCCAGCACTTTGGGAGGCCAAGGCGGGCAGATCATGAGGTCAGGACATCGAGACCATCCTGGCTAACACAGTGAAACCACATCTCTGCTGAAAATACAAAAAAATTAGCTGGGCATGGTGGCGCGTGCATGTCGTCCCAGCTACTCGGGAGGCTGAGGCAGGAGAATGGTGTGAACCCAGAAGGCGGAGCTTGCAGTGAGCCGAGATTGCACCACTGCACTCAAGCCTGGGCGACAGAGCGAGACTCCGTCTAAAAAAACAAACAAACAAGCAAACAAAAAATGACAACAAAAAAACAAGACCGGTTGATCTGCTGTCTTCAAGAGACTTATTTCACATTTAATAACATCCATAGGCTCAACAAAAAGGGTTGGAGAAAGATATCTCACATAAATGGAAATCAAAAAAGAACAGGGATTGCTATTCTTATATCAGAAGAAAACAGACCTTAAACCAGTAACAGTAATGAAGGGCAAAGAAGAGCATTACAAAATGATAACGGGTTCAATTCAACAAGAAAACTTAACTATTCTTAGTAATATACACATTCAACATTGGAGCACCCAGATTCATAAAACAAGCACTTTGAGGCCAACAAAAAGACCTAAACAGTCACACAGTTGAATAGGGGAGACTTCAACACTCCGCTAAAAGCATTAGACAGATCACTGAGGCAAAAAACTAACAAAGAAATTCTGGACTTAAATTTGACACTTGACTAATTGAACTGATGTGTTACAAAACACTGTACTCATCAACCATGGAATTTACATTCTTCTCCTCTGCACAGGGAACACATTTCAAGAATAACCACATGCTTGGCCATAAAGCAAGTCTCAATAAATTATAAAAAATCAAAATCATACCAATCATAGCTTCAGAACAGCGGAATAAAAGTAGAAATCAATACCAAGAAGATCACTCAAAACTACCAATTACATGGAAATTAAGCAACTTGCTCCTGTGTGATTTGGGGGTAAACAACAAAAATAAGGCAAAAATATAAAATTATTTGAAATAAAAATAGAGACAAAATATACCAAAATCTGTAGGATGCAGCAAAAGCAGTGTTAAGAAGAAAGTTTCTAGCACTAAACATCTACCTCAAAAAGTCAGAAAGATCTCCAATTAACAATTTCAAATCACATCTAGAGGAACTATAAAAATAAAAAAAAACTAATTTCAAAGCTAGCAGAAGAAATAAATAAGAGCAGAACTGAAAGAAATTTAGACCATAGATCTATACAAAGAATCAGTGAAACCAAAAGTTAGTTATTCAAAAGGATGAACAGGATTGATAGATTAAAAGTTAGATTAACAAATTAAAAAGAGAGAAAATCCAAATAAGCACAATTAAAAATAATGAAGGTGACATTACAACTGATTCCACAGAAATATAAAACATCCTCAAAGACTATTATGAATACCTCTATGCACATCAACTAGAAAATCTAGAGGAAGTGGACAAATTGCTGGAAACACACAATCTCACAAGTTTGAATGAGGAAGAATAAAACCCTGAATGGATCACTATTGAGTTCTGAAATTGAATAAGTGATTAAAAATCTACCAACAAAATAAGCCCTGGATCAGATGGATTTATAGCCAAATTCTACCAGATGTTCAAAGAAGAGCTGTTATCTATTCTACTGAAACTATTCCAAATCTTGGAGAAGAAGAAACTCCCCCGTGACTCATTCTACAAAGCCAGTGTTACTCTAATATCAAAATCTGGAAAAGACACAATGAAAAAAGAAAACTAAAAGCCAATACCCTTGATGAAAATATATACAAAAATCCTCAACGAAATTCTAGCATACTAAACTTAGCAGCACATAAAAAGATTATTTCCTCATGATTAAATAGGCTTTATTCCTGGGATGCAAGGCTAGTTCAAAATAAGCAAATCAATAAATGTGATTCACCACATTAACAGAATTAAAAACAAAAAGCGTATGATCATCTAAATACATGTAGAAAATGCTTTCAATAAAATTAAACATCTCTTCTTAATATAAACCTTCAACAAACTAGGCAGTGAAGGAACATGCCTCAAAATAATAAGAGCTGTCTATGGCAAAAGCACAGGCAACATTATACTGAACAGGCAAAAGCTGCAACCATTCCCCTTGAAAATTGGAACAAGACAAGGATGCCTGCTTTCACCACTCCTATTCAACATAGTACTGGAATTCCTAGCCACAGCAATCAGGCAAAATGATGAAATAAAAGCCATCCAAATAGGAAAAGAAGAAGTCAAATTATCCCTATTCGTGGACAATGTGATTCTATACCTATAAAACTCTAAAGACCCTGCCTGAAGGCTCCTGGTACTGATACATATCTTCAGTAAACTGTCAAGATATAAAGTCAGTGTACAAAAATCAGTACATTTCTACACATTGATAACATTCAATCTGAGAGTGAAATCAAGGATGCAATTACATTTACAATAGATACCAAAAAACCCCACCTAAGAATACATCTAATCAATAAAGTGAAAGACCTCTATAAGGAGAATTACAAAACAGTGCTCAAGGAAATAATAGAATACATAATCAAATGTAAAAACATTCTATGCTCATAGATCGGAAGAATCAATGTTGTTAAAATGGCCATACTGTCCAAAGCAATCTACAAATTCAATGCTATTTCTATCAAGCTACCAACGTCATTTTTCACAGATCTAGCAAAAACTATCCTAAAATTTGTATGGAACCAAAAAAGAGCCTGAATTGCCAAAGCAATCCTAAGCAAAAGGAACAAAGCTTGAAGCATCATGTTACCCACCTTCAAATTATACCATAAGGCTACAGGAACCAAAATAGCATCATACCAGTACAAAAACAAACACATGTACTAGTGGAACAGAATAGAGAAGCCAGAAATAAAGGTGCATGCCTACAACCATCTGATCTTTGAAAAACTCAGTTAAAAAAAGCAAAGAGGAAAGGAATCCCTATTCAATAAATGGTGCTGCGATAGCTGGCTAGCCATATGCAGAAGAATGAAACTAGGTGTCTCCTTTCTACCATAGACAAAAATTATCTTAAGATGGATTAATTATTTAAATGGAAAACCTCAAACCATAAGAATTCTAGAAGAAAACCTAGGAAACACCATTCTGGACATTAGCCCTGGAAAAAAATTTGTGACTAAGTTCTCAAAAGCAATTGCAACGAAAACAAAAATTGAAAAGTGGGACCTAATTAAACTAAATAGCATCTGATTTAGTTTGATTAAAATATCAACAGAGTAAACATACAACCTACAGAATGGGAGAAATATTCAGAAATCATGCATTTGACAGAGGTTTACTATCTAGAATCTATAAAGAGCTGAAACAATTCAACAAGCAAAAAACAAATAACTCCATTAAAAACAGGCAAAAGATATGAACAGACACTTCTCAGAAGAAGACACACAAGCAGCAAACGTATTAAATAAATACTCAACATCACTAATCATCAGAGATGCAAATCAAACCACAATGAGATACCATCTTGCATAAATTAGAATGACTATTATTAAAAAGTCAAAACCCAACAGATGCTGGAGTGGCTACCTAGAAAAGGGAACATTTATACACTGTTGGTGGGATGTAAATTAGTTCAGCTACTGTGGAAAGTGAAGATTTCTCAAAGAACTGAAAACAGAACTACAATTTGACCCAGAAATCCCATTACTAGGTATATGTCCAGAAGTAAATAAATTGTTCTACCAAAAAGACACATGTGCACTCTTATTTTTATTGCAACACTATTCACAAAAGCAATGGCTGGAATCAACCTAGGTGCTCATTAACGTGGACTGGATAAAGAAAATGTGGTACATATACACCATGGAATACTATGCAGCCAAAAACACAGAAGAAAATCATGTATTTTGCAGTAACATGGGTGCAGCTGGAGGCTATTATCCTATGTAAATTAACACAGGAACAGAAAATCAAATGCTACATGTTCTTTCTCACTTATAAGTGGGTGCTAAGGATTGGGTGCTGATGGACATAAAGATGGTAACCATAGAAACTGGGGACTACTAGGCAGGAGGAAAAGATGAGGGAAAAGGTTGAAAAACTAACTATTGGGTACTATGCTCAGCGACAGAATCAATTATACCCCAAACTTCACCATCATGCAACATACCCAGTAACAAACCTGCACCTGTGCCTCTTGAATGTGAAATAAATTTGACACTATAAAAAAAAAGAATAACAGCTATAGAAACGGAATGAAAACCTGTAACAACATGTTGGAAACTGAATTCAAACAGAAAATAAATAGGACAAAGAACAAGATATACAAATAAAATATTCAAATTTTGTTGGAGAAAACATTAAACAATTTATGAAAAACAAACCTGTAAAGGTTTTGAAAAAAAAGTAAATTTTAACATAGTATACTCTATGGCTGAGGAATGATATAATTATGCATTTGGATAATGGGAGGGGATTAATAGATGTGTTTCTTTTTTTGACAGGAAGTGAATAATCTATCAAATGTATATTTTTAATAACTGGACACTGTGATGGTTAAATGTATATACCTACTTGACTGGATCATGACTGCACAGACATTTGATTAAACATCATCTGGGTGCATCTGTTTCTAGGCTTGGAGGCTTCTTAAAACTGCAGAGTTAAAACAAAAAACAAGCAAACAACAAATTTTTGTGACTTATTGTCATGACCAAGTGTCTGAATTCTTGGCAATAACTGTGGTTTGACAGTTCAGTGATTCTAATATTAAGCTAGGTTTTAGAACCACTGCAGTAGGTAAGTTCAGCAAAAGTAGACAGACTGGTAAAGACTTACAAATGAGCCTTGGCAAGTAATCCAGTCATTACCTATTATTTCATGTGTTTACTGTATGAAAATCACCAGTTGGTTAGGCAATTTTGTGCCTATGTTATTTATGCCTTTTTTTTTTTTTTTTTTTTTTTAGCAAGCAACAGAAAACAATTCTTATTTAACTAAAACAAGAAAGGGGCAAGGTTACTTGAAGGATGGGGCATGACTCTAATAAAGAAAAGAAATATAGCCAAACCTGAAAGACCCCATTAGTCTTCCAGACCAGGATAGTAGACAGACAAGGCCTTTCAGGTTTACTATTATTGGGATAAATTAGTTCCAACCATTTTGTTATTCTTATCATTCTTCTCAAGATTCAAATTCCCAAAAAGGAGAGGCTGACTGGCCAAGTGGATCACCTGCTTTTTTTTTTTTTTTTCAAGAAGGGATAGTAAAGACAGTACAATGAGCAAAGAGTAGTTTTCCAAATGGAGGAAAAAATGGGATTTCATTACTATTGAAGAGGAAACAGATGATAAACAGTCAGAAGTCATAGATATTCAATGAGAACTCCACTTTTCTTTCACGCACCCTCATATTACTATGAGCACAATGGAACAATAATCCTTTATAAAAATTTCCAATATATAAAAGTTCAAATTTACGTATCTTCAGATGATAATTATATCCATTAGCAATGGCCTTCCTACATGATTCCCTTAAGGAACAATCTTCTTCATTGTATTATAATATCACTCTATCAACAAATATGGCTTCACAAACATTTTTCAGTTGTCCGTCATCACTACAGAAAGGAGTATATACCTCTACTGTGCTTGGGAACTTCAGGATCTCTTTTATCTTCATTAGCATTATATTATGTTACTCTGTTAAATACAGTTCAGTGAAAACATAATTTAACAATGGGTTTGGTTATTTAGAAGAGGTGCTAAAGCTTAAGAGAAACTAAGCTAGCCAAGGAGAGGCCTAGGGTTCTCCCAACTTAATGCTTATTATTGGTAGCAGAGGTCCTTTTGGAAATGCATTATTTCAAAATTGTGTACTTGGTCTTTTCTACATCTCCTTCAAAACACCTTATTACCACTGCTGAGTACTTTTTATTATTATTAATTCTTTCTTCTTTTTGTAACTTCCAGTTTAGAAGGCACTTAAGAATATTTGGAACACACATTGGATGCAAATGTCTGTATGAACATGCTGATTGTCATAGCAGCCTCTATAGTTTTCTATGTATAAACATTATGGTTTCTTCTTAGAAGATGACTACAGAGTATAAATATTCACATAAAATATACTTTATGTAATAGTCACATAAAATATATTAGAACATATATGGTGATATTTATTAAGAAAGAAACAGATTATAGTCATCTTCCAGAAAGACAAAAAGCTTGACTTAATCTTCCAAGAAGACATAGATCTCAGATCAGATGAGAAATCTTTTAGTAAATCAAGCTAAAACAGCTCTTTGTAACAGCACAGTGTTTCTGTGGTAGATAAATGTTTCATTTACTCAAAATGAGGTTTTTTTGAAAATAAAAAAGGCTTCCTCTAGAAGATTAATTTCTTTAACTTGGGCAGATCAAATGAGGAAAGGAATATGAACACACATTGCTGTAAACAAGAGAACTCTCAAAAGGCTTTCCCAAATGTCTAATTTGACCCTTCTCATAGATCTTTAAAGTAAATAAAGGGATAATATTATCTGACAATTAATAAATTAAGGATAGAGAAGACCTCCAATTCTATGCTACAGATGGCTCTTATGATGGGGTGACATCCCAATAAACCAATAGTAAGTTGAAAATACCATATGCCAAAAATGCGTTTAATGCACCGAACCTACCAAACACCGTTGCTTAGACTAGCTTACCTTAAATGAGCTCAGAACACTTACAGTAGCCTAGAGTTGGGCAAAGTTATCTCACACAATGAGTATTTTATAATAAAGTGTTACTATCTCATGTAATTTATTACATACTGTACTAAAGTGAAAACAGAATGGTTGTATGGGTACTTGTACAGATTCGACTGAATGTGTGTATCACTTTCACATTACTGTAAATTTGAAAAATCCTAAGTGAAACCATCATAACTCATGGACCACATGTAGTTTTAAATTATCTACTCACTGAGCATGATCAACAGTGCTGTATAAAATGTAAAAGCGTACCCTGAGAGCTTACGAGTTAGTGAAGCATTCCTAAAACAAGATCCAGGGTAAAAGGGAAATCCAAAGAAGTAAGTCTGAGAAACTTTTTCCTTGGAGATTAATTAATCGAGTAAAGGAAGTTCAATGGCTGGGACATATATCCAAGCAATTGACAACCTTGTGTTGCTTGGATGATAAACTGTATGTTGAATTTGTGAAACGTACATCCTGGGATTAAAGATTAGTTGGAAATAGTTCAGCCTTTCCAGAGATTGTAAAGCAATTCAAATAATTTTAAAACTTAAAATTGGATTAATTTATTTCAGATTGCTAGTGTCTCCAGGCACTTTGCCAGACAAAAAGTAAATTTTCTTTTCTGCAAAGAATTGCTACAAAAAATTGTAAACTAAATGCCTGATACACAATGCAAAATAACAAGTCATGATAAGAGGAATGAAAACATGCTAGAAAATCAGTAGAAACAAATTAAAATTAAAAAGCCAAAAAGGGTTGCATAAAAAAAGTATCATGAAAAAAATGTAATTAACAAACTGAACACAATTTACATACAGAATGCTGCATCCCAAAATTGAAGAACGCTTTTTTGTAAATACCAAGCCCACGTAGGACATTTACAAAAAAATGATTAGCTAGGTTTGATTTTTCACTAAGAGAACTCACAGAACCCAGCAAAGAGTTATATTCACGGCTATAATTTATTACTGCCAAAGGGCACTGTTATGGGCTGAGTTGTGTCCCCCCACCAACTCAGATTTGTATTTTGAAGCCTTAACCTCCGCTACTCAGAATGTTATGGCATTTAGAAGTAGGGTCATTAAAGAGGTGCTTAAGTGAAAATGAGGCTATTAGGGCAGGCCCTAGTCCAATATGACTGCTGTCTTTATAAAAAACAAAAATGGTCACAAAAGAGACACTTGGGACATGTATACACAGAGAAACAGTCACACAAGGACACAGCAGGAAGGTGGACATCTGTAAGCCAATGAGAGAGGCCTCAGGAGAAACCAGACCTGTTAACATCTTAATCTCATGTTTCTAGTTTCCAGAACTATGAGAAAATAAATTTCTGTTGTTTAATCCACCCAGACTGTGGTATTTTCTTATGAAAGCCCTTGTAAACAAATATAGGCATCAGGAAAAATCAGCAAAGGGAAAAAGGCATATGGAGTAAAGTCCAGAGGAAACCAGATGAGAACTTCCAAGAATCCACCTGCAAGGTCTACCCCTTGCCATCTGGAATGTTTACTGCAAAACTATGAGCAGGAAGACTCCAGGTAGCAAAAGGAGACCAAACCGAAGTGTTGAGCTCACATAGGAACATTAGGTGTCATAGATTTATTCAGTTGAAACAAATTCCACTAACCATAAAAGTCTATTTTTAAAAGCTAGGAGACTGCCTTCTTCAGCTTCTGCATGATGTTTTTTTCCCCCTGGCTCAAGGCAAGAATTCAGGCACAGCCTAACTCTGGCCAGTAAGTTGAAGCTGATATGAATGCCTTCCAGGACTGAAGCAGTATCATGATACTTAGGATAGATACACACACGAGAAACACAATCCCAGAAGGAACATGGTACGCCATAATGACAGAGTTTACAATTGTTAGGGTTCCTCCAGAGGGATAACATTAGTCAGGCAGTAAATTTAACAGGGCCCCTGATGTGGTTTCTCACCGTGGAGCCTATCACCCTGGGATTCTCAGTTCACTTCGCTCAGTTTAGTCCTTGCTTTCAGAAGGACCACCTGAGGCAGTTAGTTCTAAACATTTCACTTGTCCCTGACACCAGTTCACCTTCCTTTCAGATGTGGAAGCATCTGGGGATGTTCTGTGTGGAAAGTGCTGGGGCTACCCCCTGCTGTCTCAGAGTCAGGTGTGATCATAGGCTCAGCGGTAGGTTACATTCAAAATGCTCAGAGCAGCATGGAAAGTCAACACTCGGGATTTTTTTTTCTTTTTCCTCAGGAGTAGAGAAAGCTTCCAGTAATAGCTTTGACAAACAAAGATCATTGCCTTTCCACTTCTCCACGCCTGCCCTGGTGCAAAGATTTTGTTTTTCCTTGTTGTTATAAAGTCAGTCTGTTCTTTTTAGCAATTATAACTTCACACTTTTTCAATTAGTTCCCAATCTCACTGAGATGTTTCATCTGGAAAACTTTCATACAAGATGAGCAAAACTATTTTCTTAGAAAAAAATATTTCGGTACAACTTAATCAGAAAGATGCATCATGTTTAGGAACTGGTTAGGATAAAATCCTGAAGTTAAAAAAAAAATAAAATTAGTTTACATAACTTTCCCTACCTTTTATTATAACCATTTACCTAGTGAGCATTCTATAAACAATCACACTTTTCTGGCGACGGTTGTATTTAGTAGTCAAATTTCCTTACTGATGTGTGTGTACCAGGAGAAAGATACAGAAAATAGACTGAAGCTATCAGTTCATCATTGCAATCTACAACTGATCCAGAAAGCTAAACGCAAGTCAACAACAGTTTGTGAGGCATCCCTCAGGAGGTCAAGATTCCCTGTAAAGGGGATTGAAGATTCCCTTTCTACCAACTTCCAGATTCTAGTCCAGATCAGAAATAGAAATACAAGCAGTGTCAGAAATATAGAGTTGACTAGGAGCTCAATTTTACATAGTCCCACCAGAGAATGAGCCCTTTTTGTGGGCATTTGTACATGGCACCGATGGTCCAGTCAACAACAAGGATATTGTCATAGTTTATGTGCCCACAGAGGGGAATTTTAAATTTGCAACAGTCTTAGAATTTTAGTTCTATTCATTAAGCTGATGCTTGCTTTTAGTTCAACTTAGCCTGTGCTGAGGCCAAAACAGCGTGTGACAGACATTACTAGGTTTCAGCTTAGAATCACATCCAGGAAATTAGGGTATATAAATTCAGATTCTTTAAAAAGCTGGCAAATTTTCTTCAGCAGCAGTAAAGTTGTGATGCTATAGGGCCACACACTATGATTCATGTCTGAGTGACAAGCAAGGTTTTCTTGAGCTTTTTTGTCTTGTTAGTCTGAGTCCAAATTGACCCACTCAAAAATAGGCACATTACATGAGAAAATCATCAGCCTGTAAGAGTCAGATCACTGACTTATAAGGGCTCATTAGCAACTAAAAACTGTTTACAATGTCAGAAGTGCACCTCAGTTTGGATATTGACTCTTTGTTAATGCTATCTTTCTTTATTCAGAGAGCCTAACATTAGGTAAAATCAGAGCCAAAAGCATGTGTTACAAAGACGTATTTTGTTTTAAATGCTTAATGAATTTAACTTCCAGCCAACCCATCAGTGGTAAAAAGCAAAGAAGTTATGTCCCACTATCACTTTCGTTTGCAGCTTTCACTGATTGTGAAGATCCCCCTAAGAATTTATGAAATTACAAGTATATACCATTTACAACCATTTTTATTATACAAATAACCAGAAAATCCACAGCCAATTTTAAAAAATCCTTTTCTAAAGTATTGCAAATTTATTCAACCCCCTGTCAGTAAATTCCACATTTATAGCGTTAAGATTATAGTTGCTGGGGAGATCTAACTGTGATGCTGTTACCGGAAAGAGGACCGGATCCAGACCACAAGAGAGTTCTTGGATCTCCTGTGCAAGAAAGAATTCAGGGCATGTCCGCAGTGCAAAGCAAAAGCAAGTTTATTAAGAAAGTAAAGGAATAAAAGAAAGGCTACTCCATAGACAGAGCAGCCCCGAGAGCTACTGGTTGCACATTTTAATGGTTATTTCTTCATTGCATGCTAAGCAAGGGGTTGATTATTCACTCCTCTCCTTTTTAGACCATATAGGGTAACTTCCTGATGTTGCCTTGGCATTTGTAAACTGTCATGGTGCTGATGGTAGTGTAGCAGTGCGGATGGATGACCAGAGGTCACTCTCGTGGCCGTTTTGGTTTTGGTAGGCTTTGGGTAGCTCCTTTACTGCAACCTGTTTTATCAGCAAGGTCTTTATGACATGCATCTTGTGCCAACCTCCTATCTCATGTTGTAACTTAGAATGCCGAACGGTCTTGGAATGCCGCCCAGTAAGTCTCAGCCTCATTTTACCCAGCCTCTATTCAAGATGGAGTTGCTCTGGTTCAAACACCTCTGACAATGCAAGGGTGGGGCTGCTGCAGCAAAGGCAGTTAGGTTGAAGATGTGGCAAGATTGTGATTCCCCCTTCCCCATCCCATCTTTATCCTCAATTATCTATCACTTTGTTCCAGCTCTGGAAATGGATTTAGCTGTTTTCGTCCCACTTGGAGAAGAGAATATAGAAAATTTTAACATTTTTAGACAAAGTTCACATTTGTGACTATTCAGGCTGTTTCTTTTACTACTCGGAGGAGAAAGAAAGAAATCACTGATGCTGCATGCTTTGATCCTCGCTTTAACCAGGATGGCCAAAAGCAGCTAGAGAGTGCAGCAAGCCAACGCTCATAGAGCTGCAGGTATCATTTTCAAATTCCATAGGTAATGTTTAAATCTCTCAGTAGACAGCAATTTCAACAGCATTTTCATACCATGGCTAGCTCCGTAGCCACTCAGGAAGTGAAGGCTTACCATTCCCTGGACCCTTGAGCCTTTCTCTTCCCAGTGTTTTCACCATATTTCAGTAAACCAGGGTCATTCTAGCAAATTCCACTTCTGACCCCTACTATACTAGGGGTTCCCAAGACCACTACCAGATTTGACAATTCACTAAAAGGACTCACAGAAATTAAAATGTAGTCTTAATTATGGCTATAATTTATTACTGCAAAAGAAAAGCAAGTCAGCAAGGGGAAAAGGTGCATGGGTAAAATCCAGAAAAAAACAGGCTCAGGATTTTGTAACTCTTTTCCCAGTAGAGTCACACAGGACACACTTAATTCCTCCAGCATTGCATTGTAATGACACATTTGAAATCTCTACCAGGGGAGCTTATTATAGACTCAATGCCCAGGGTTTTCATTAAGGGTTGGTTACACAGGCATCCTCTTCATCATACATACCAAAATTCCATAGAACCCATACGTAAAGTAAGTCTTCAGCATAAACAACATAATTTGTACAAACATTTTAGGCACAGTGAGTTACTTTTATCAGTCCTGATTATGATAGGAACCCTTTTAATATCTGAGTTATCAGATGCCAGCTGAGGGCCAACTTTCAAACAGGTCTTTGTGCATTTAGTTTCAGGCCTGCTATGCTAACTCTTTTCTGCACATAGACCCATTGAGTCTTAATAAATGTCAGAGATTAAGTTCATGCAATCTGTTCTCTTATCATAATTTAATTAAGCTTGAATTAATAACAAAATATTACAATTTAATCTCTAGATGTTTGAACAACAAGATACACATTTAAATGTCACAGGGGCCAAAGTCATACTCATAATGGAAATAAAATATTTTGAATTGAATGCTATAATCCTTATTGGAAATCAGGGAAATGGAATGTTAAATCATAATATTATATATCACTACAGCCTTAATAAGGCTAAAACACAAAACAATAAAAATATCAGGACTTGGTGAGGGTGTGAAACAATTAGAGTTCTTATTAGCTATTCTCATGAATGTAAGTTGGTGCAACTGAACTGTGTAAATAACTTGTGTAGAATAGTAAATATATTGTGTGACAGTTATATATTAGAATAATAGATACACTGAGAATGATTTGCATTTATACACACATACATATACATGGGTGATTCTTACAATGCAATGTTGAATGAATGAGTTCAGGCACAAAATAATAGATATTGTCTGACTCCATCTATATAAAAATCAAAATAAGAAAAAACAAACTCATTTTTAACGTGTTCTTAGGTATAAAAATAGTTCGAAATCAAGAAAGCAGTGACTGACACTGATGAAATTGTAGGTAGATAGAGAGTACTGATTGGGGGAGATGGCACAAAAAAGATTGTCAATGTTCTCTTTTTTGAGCTGCATATAGGTTAAGTAAGCAAATCCTTTTTGACATTTTAATGAGCAGTGTATTTTAGTTTTGTGTATTTTTATAAAAGTGTGTTGTATTTTGAATTAGAAAAAGTTTAACTGAAGAAAGAAGTATTTCTCAGAGGAAGTAAATGAATCATGTAATAACATACATATATTTCTATTCTAGAAGCCAGGCTTGTTGAATGTCTAAATCAGGATCATTGTACTATATTGTACAACAAAGTTAGTGGTATGACAGTTCTTCAAAGTGGAACTACATCCCCATACAATCACTGAAACTAATAATAATGCCTCTATGTGAAAATAATAATCAGATATTTTCTATACTCTAAATCTACTACTTCCTTTATGTCATTAAATTATTCTGAGTCTCAGCACCCATAATTCTGTCTTTTTAATTCCCAGAATATCCCACATAGCTTTCATATATTTCATTATTTATATACCTGTTCATTTACAAAGTAAGTATTTTTGTGAATGTGTACCTGTCACATCACAATGAAAGGAATTTGGAACCCCTTGACAAAAAACAATACTGTAAGTTATTTTAAAAATATAAGTATACACACATACATATGCACACACATATCTATAACTATCAACATACATATGTATATAATTATATAAATATACGTGTGTAAATATATTCCCATATAAACATTATAAGGGAAATTGAAAATAAAAATGAGGCCAACAACTCTCTTAGATGAGAATAAAATGTAGATACACAGCAGTGAGTGAAGGTTAAAATGATAAGAAAACAACTGGATTTCTGGGTTAGAAACTGGCAGAGGAGGATTGATATTCATTTCCTGTGAAATTTTAGAGGACAGAGTCAGTGATTTTGGAGACCAGAGCATGAATTTGGTTTCCCTGCCTATGTCTGAGTGCTTAAAAAGTACTGTAATTAGGGTTGTAGGGATTATGAAGCTGAGGCCTACAATGATAGAAGGAACAGAAACAGCCATGTACTCAAACCTGAAGAAGTTATATATTAACTTGGGAATTTATTTCTGATTTTTTTTAAAAAAAAAAACCTCTTAATTTTCAACATTAAATCTTATGGTGAAGAGGATCCTACCTATTTAATTTGAACCATAAAACCACTAGATATGTAGGAGTACATTTGGGAAGAATGAGAGAGAGTTACCCATAGGAAGGGAAAGAGTGCATGGCCAACAGTGGGAAGAGTAATGAAGAGAGTGAGGGGAAAGAAACACAACACTTGGTATTTTAAGAGGCCAAAATACTACTTTGCTGAGACATAGTGAGCAAAAGGTATGGTTACTGGGAACAAGGTTAGAAGGGTATGAGGTTGGGTACTAAGTCAGGTATGATTTTTATGGTCATTTTAAAGTATTTGGGTTTTATATGAACACAGTGGGAATTTTAAGCAGTCAAGCATCATAATATGATTTGTTTTACACTTATTATTCTGACTACTCTGAAGACAAATGATCTGATGAAGGAAGCATGAAAGAGAAATGTTAATAATAATGAGACTATTTCAGCCTTAAGGAAATAAATAATGATAAGTTGAAAGTCACTAGCCCTCTGAAAATTGAAAGTAGACATATTTAAGACATAGTCTGAAAAAGAAAGGCACTAAATATCTAATGATGTTATATGTATAAAGAGGAAAAACAGAAACCCAAGATGACCGCCTAATTTTCTGGTGTGAGAAATTCGCAGGAAAGCTATACATTGAAAATTACTAACATACAGATGTCATATCTTGCTGCTAGAATGGATGAGATTGCCTGTGAAGATTATGAAGCAACGTATGGTTAAATATCACTTACATTTATTGACTATTAACTAGATTCCAGGAAAAATGCTCAGCACTTCACATGATTTACCTTGTTTAGTCTTTGTTAAAACTCTGAGAAATAGGTAGTGGTTCTACACTCTATTTAGAGAAGCAAAACTGTAATCTTAAAGGGTTATGTAACTTTCCCATGGCCACACAGTAAATGATGGAGGCAAATTTTAAATTTATATAGTCCAAATTTAGAACCCACAAGCTTAAGCAGTATTACTGCCACCTTGGGGAAAAGAAGCATGCTTTGAACCACACCCCAAAAATGTCCATTTATAAAGAAGGAGCAGTCTACAAAGGAGACTGGAAGACAAAAAAGTAGCCTTATATTAGAAAGACCAAGAAAATCGGGAGGGGAGTGTGTTTCAAGGTGAAACATCTGGTCACTCTTGAATATTGCTGAGAAAACAATTAAGAATAGCAATTAAATTTGACATAAGTTATCACTGCTCTTTATAAGAACAGTTTTTCTAGAGTATTGAGTGTAGGTTAAAATTGGAGGTCTATGTAGCATCAAAAGAAAAAAAAAATTATGTCCCATCTTATGTATGTGACTTAATGAGAATGATTGAGAAGAGACGGAGAAGAGGGAGAGGAACAGACAGAGTGATAGCCAGAAGGAGGGAAATATTAGACAGATAAATAATTCAGGAAGTGGAAGAGAAAAAAGAACCAAATTCTGGAGATAAAGAACCAAATTCTGGAAATGTAAAACCAAGTGCTCTTTTCATGTTGGAAGTAGTCCAATGTAATCAATCTGCCACCAGGTAATTGACTGATCATGCTGAGAAATAGCGTCAGGGACTCAGCATTGGTCTTGGCTTTTGGCAAGTTAGGTGCACAGCAATGGAAATTGCCAGATTACCTCCTAATCACCTAGCTAGAAGAAACTCCTCATAAGGCCATAAACGTGGGTTAAGATGGAGGAGACAGTGAGGCAGGAGTAGGAGCCATAGACATCCAAGCCACGTGGCCATGTAACTGACTCATTACTTAAGGATTTATTTGATCCCTCTATTTATGTACTCCTTCCATTTAATAATGAAGTCCTGCTGCAATCAACCAAATATACAGCTTGGTCTATTATACAACTTCTAGATAATGAGCATAATTAGATGGTCAATGGTCAAGCATTCATTCAGCCTCTATTAAGGACTATATCAAGCCAGAAACTTTCTCAAAGGGAACATAGTTAAATGCTGAGGACGGTGTGGCTTTACTCCAAAGTTCTAAAGGATTGTGCTGTGATTCATTTATAAGTGTCTATCACTGATCCATACAGCATTCTATCTGCCACACATTCTTTGAGCACCTTTTGATCTGCTTAGCTACGTAAGCCAAATAGCAGAGCAGCCTGCACAGCATCCTGGACCTGTTACAAAGCATTTTCTTTTCTGGGTTCCATTAAAAACTGGAAAACTTTTGGAATATTTGGCAAATAGTTTTTGATAGCACAATCCGACAACAAGTGTATTCTTCCAAAGAGCATCACCAGACACTGTGTCTGTGTCTTAGTTGTAAGAATGCGAGATGCAGGAATTCATCCTTTACCTTGGAAGGGATGACTGAACATACCCTAGACCATAGGACAGACAGCTATCTACATTTTTATAGGATTTGTTTTCCACTCTGTGCCACATATGTGTTGTATTAAAACGTTTAGTAATGTTTAGTTTACTAGTTCCATTTAGCATGATACCCTCAGCATAATGGATCCAGGCGATGTACTGTGTTTTTAAGAGGTGAGTGATTCTGGAGAGTTGATATTTCCATAGGGTAAGCAACTAAGATGTACTGTGGCCCTTATCAGCTAAATGCAAACTTTCCTAAATGGTCTTTATTAAGAAGTAAAGAGATTCATAGCTCTTTTTTTTTTTTCAGACTCATAGCTGCTTCATGGTGACTAGAAAATATGTTAAGTTGCTTCCAACTGTAGTGCCACAAAAACAACAATTTTATTAAACTAATGAATTCAGTGGGATAAGAATTTAAGCAGAGTACTGAAAAGATGGCTTTTTTCTGTTTCGTCATATTTATTGCTTCAGCTTGGAAGACTCGAGTGAGAGTGACTCAACTAGCTAGGTAAAAGAATCACAGGGAGGCTTCTTCAGCTCCATGTCGAGTGCCTGCCTAGGACAGCTTCTATGTTAGGCTTGCCTTCGACTAAGCACCTACAGGTAGTCTGGGTTTCCTCACAGCGTGAGTGCCTCGGGGTAGTCAGAATTCTAATATGCTGACTCAGCACTCTACGGGCAGCATTTTTTTTGTTTTTCTTTTTTGAGACAGAATCTGACTCTTTCGCCCAGGCTGGAGTGCAGTGGCATGATCTCGGCTCACTGCAACCTCCGCCTCCCAGGTTCAAGCGATTCTCCTGCCTCAACCTCCTGAGTAGCTGGGATTACAGGTGCCTGCCACTGCACCCGGCTAATTTTTGTATTTTTAGTAGAGACGGGGTTTTGTCATGTTGGCCAGGCTGGTCTCAAAGTCCTAAGGGCAGCATTTTTAATGTGGAAGGAGGAAGCTGTGGAAGTTCTTTTGGTCTAATAATCTTAGAGATTACACAGCACCACTTCTCTTACATTCCATTTGCTAAAAGAAAGCCACAGATTGTATTAGTCATCTGTAGCTGTGTAACAAATTAATGCAAAACCCAATGGCTTAAAACAAACAAAGAAAAAAGCCATTATTATCTCACAGCTTCTGTGAGTCACGATTCTGGGTGCAGCTTAGCTGGCTGATTCTTTCTCCAGATTTTCCACAGGAATGACGTTAAGGTGTTAGCCAGAGTCATTGTCTCTCCTGAAGCCTCACCTAAGGGAGGGTTTACTTCCAAGATCGGTCCTGTGATTGATAGCAACATTCAGTTCCTCACTGTTGTTGGCCTGAGGATCTCAGTTTCTCCTTGGCGGTGGACCAGAAGCTCCCTCCATTGCGCGCCATATGGTTTTCCGTTGGGCAACATGCAGCATGTCAGCTGGCTTCCATCAGAATGAACAAGTGAGATAAAGCAGAAGAGAAAAAGCAGGAGAAAGAACATTTTTCAGAAGGGAGCTCAACGCCTTTGCCAGATTGTACTTATTGGAAGAAAGTCACTGGACTCTCACAAAATGAAGAGGAGGGGATTACACAAGGTGTTAATACCGCACCAGGAGGTTAGAATTATTGGGGCCATCTAAGAAGCTGTTTTCTTAATCTGCACTCTGATTCCAATAATTCATATTCCTCCCACATTCCCCTAAAGTTCCATCACATTACATCACCAGCTTAAAGGTCATAATCTCACTGCCTAACTTATTTTCATGTGTGATGACTCTCCTCAAATAACAGTGCCACAAGTGCAGCTTCTTAAGTACAGTTCTTGTCAATCTGTTGATTTGTCAAACTAGAGAGACACATTCTGTTCTTTGCATGATCAACATACAGTAAGGGGACAGGTACAGGGTAACTCCTGAAGACATTACTGTTTAAAAAGGGGGGAAATTAGAAGCAAAATGAGTCACTGATAGAAATTCTGAAATCTAGCCAGGCAAATGTTGACAGCTCCTTGATTAGGTCTCAAGGCCTGAGAATAATTCTCCACAGCTCTCATTTCCTCCCTCTGAGGTTTTTATCATACGCTTTGAGTCATACTTAATTTTTGGTAAATGTGTTTGAAGCCAAGTAGTATTCCCAGCTTGCTTTCTGCCTGTAGGATTTGAAATTTCAAAAAGCATCTTGTTATTTCATTCATCTAATTCTGGAATGGTTTTGCTGATATAATTCACTCAAAAACTTTGTAGGCTTCCTCTGAATATAACTGCAGTTTACTTAATTAGGCAGATATAAAAGCCACTAATTTATTTGACATAGATTTTTTTCTACTTTTTGTTCCTGTGTAGATAGTGAAGGGGCAAGGCCATTAAGATTCCATATTAGTCTGCAAGTGCTGCCATAATAAAACACAACAGTGAAAATTTGTACTTAGTTTCTATACGTTTTGAGCGATGACAAATGTTTCACTTTTATAACTTATGATAATGCAGGATGAATAAGAAATTTTGCAAGTTATTAAGGCTAGAAGACATTAACACCACTTAAAATTTGTATGGCATATTCGTGTGTCAGGGACGCCATCAGAAAATATCACAGACCGGATGTCTTAAACAACAGAAATTTGTTTTGTCACAGTTCTGGAAAATTAAGGTGTCAGCAGTTTTGGTGTCTTCTGAGAATTCTCTCCTTGACTTATAGTCATCTTCTCTCTTTGTCTTCGTTTGATCTTTCCTTTATGCGTGGCTATGTCTGAATTTTTCTCTTCATATAAGGACATCAGTCATATTGAATATGGCCCTGTTTTAACTTAATGATCCCTTCTTAATAAAAAACTCATTTTAACTCAGTCATCTCTTTAAAGGACCTGTTTCCAAGTGGAGTCACATTATGAGGTGCTGGGGGTTAGGACTTTAGTTTATGAATTTTGGGGGTACACAATTCTGACCATAACAGTTTTCTATGGACAGCTTGATATTTGAGATAATTTGTAATGCCCATCTCATCCCTAAACTTTTTAAAAGGGCATTTGTGTGATTGAATCATACTCTGAGATATCACCTTTTTTATTTCTGAGGTTTTAACAGTTTTTGTAGTCAAGACTTTGCTTCATCTTTAGACAGTATTTTCCTGTAGGTGACCTAGATTTAAACTTTGATTAAAAGTAATTTCTTAATTTCAGCATCTGTATCAGTGAGGGTTCTCCAGATAAACAGAACCAATAGAATATAAACTATATATAACATATATATATATATATATAGTTTATGTTATTGAATATATAGTCTATGAATATATAGTATGCAGTCTATAGAATATAGACTATATATATTCTATACTTTATATAAATACATAGTCTCTCTCTATATAAGTTCATTGGTTCATTGAGTGATAAGAGGAACATCTAGGGAAAGAGGGTGACTGGCAGCTGCAAAATGAGTCACGTTATTCACTTGATTATTAATATATAATTTATTATCAGGAGTTGGCTCATATAATTATGAAGGCCAAGAAGTCCTACAATCAAACCAGCTGTTTCAAGATAATGGAAAACGTGGTAAGACTGGTGAATATTATTATCATGAGCTCATTGCCACACTTTTTTGGCTGTCACAAGTCCTTTAGTCAGAAGCAATGCTGTGTGGAATTATAATCCTCATTTCTGTTAACTGTTAATACTTTTATGGTGGATAAGGCATTCTGTAAGTTTACAGATGATAGTTTTGGTAGAAGCATTGCATGCTGGGAAGGCAAATCCATATCCAAAGTAAGTATCTATTCTGGTAAGAAAAAAATGCTGCCTCTTCCATAATAGAAGTGATCCAATGTAGTCAACTTGCTACCAGGTAGCTTGCTGATCATCCCAGGGAATCGTGCCATTTCATTGACCCAGTAATGGTCTCCACTGCTGATAGATTTGACACAGTGGTGGGTAGCCAGGTCAGCCTTAGAAATGAAGAGTCCATGTTGCTGAGCTAATGTATAACATCCATCCCTGCTACCATGATCACTTTGTTCATGAGATCATTGGGCAATGACATGGGTGGCTGAGGAGAGGCTGATGCTATCCACAGAATGAGTTGCCCTATCTACTTAGTTATTAAAATGCTTCTCTACTGAAGTCAACCTTTTGTGAGAATGCCCATGAAACACAAATATCTTTATGTTGTATTGCCCATTCGGAGAGGTCTTTTCACATACCTCTTTCATAAATTTGTTTCTCACTAATTTTTCAATCAAGTTTCTTCAAATTCCCTGACCATCCAGCCAAACCACTTGTTACAGCCCATGAAATGGTATATAGTCACACATATGGCTATTTATCCTTCCAAGTAAAGTGCACAACCAGGTAGACTGTCCGAAGTTTTGCCCACTGGGAAGATTTGCCTTCCTTGCCATCCTTCAGGGATGCCTGAAAATGGGGCTGTAGTGCCACAGCTATCCACTTTTGGATGGTGCTTATCTATCAGACAGAACCATCTGTAAAACCAGGCCTGAGCCTTTCCTACCTCTGTCAACTTATCATAGGAAACTGCTACAATGAGGCTATACACACAAGCAGGGAGAGAGAAGGCAGTGTAGCAGCAGGAGGGGAAATCATAGGCATTTGTGTCACTTCTTTGTATAACTTGTGCCTTCAGGGCCTGCTTGGCCTCAATTACATACCCACTGCTCCATATGATGGTGGAGTAGTGCTGTGCACACCCAGCTTTGTGGCTTGGTGAGTCAGAGAGCACCCAGCTAATGTTACTCAGCTCAGGTTGTAGGGTAACTTGGTGGTCCACGGTCAATCATTCAGTCATTACAAAGGCCCAGTAGCAGGCTACTTTCAAAGGAAATTTATTTATGGATAATGGCAGGAACATTTCAGCAACATCTGGTGGAGGCAACTAGTGTTGCAACTCACTGAAATGGCTGACAGCAATGAACTCCAAATGGTGCTGCAGACAGAACCATGTTAATATAATAGTAGCATTCCTTTTAGGATAAGTGACACTGGAGTTGAGTGACTAGAGTTAGTGTTTCTTGTTCTCTCTAACTCCACAAAAATCAACTTTTTAGCCCCAAAATATGTGATAATATGCAATGTTTTTCTTTCGGTGACTAGCTTATTTAACTTAACACAGTCACTTCTAATTCCAGCCATATTACTGTAAGTGACATGATTTAATTTTTTAATGGCTGAATATATTCCATTGTATATATTTACCATTTAGTCCTCATTCAGTTATTCATTGATGGACACTTGGGTTGATTCCATATCTTTGTTGTTGTGAAGAGTGCTGCAATAAACATAGGATTGCCAGTATCCATCTGATATATTGATTTTGTTTCCTGTGGATAAATACTCAGTAGTGGGATTGTTGGATTGTGTGGTAGTTCTATTTTTAGGTTTTTGAGAAATCTCCATTCTGTTTTCCATAGTGGTTGCACTAATTTACATTCCCACCGACAGTGTATAAGGGTCCTCTGATCTTCACATTCCTAACAGTATCTGTTATTTTTTGTCTTTTTAGTACTAGTCATTGTAACTTGAGTAAAATAATATCTCATTGTGGTTTTGATTTTTATTTCCCTGATAATTAGTGATATTAAGCATTTTTTTCATATATCGATTGTGCATTTGTATGTGTTCTTTTAAGAAATGTCTATTTATGTCCTTTAGACACTTCTTAATGACATTATTTGTTTTCTCACTGTTGAGATTTTTCAGTTGCTTGTATATCCTGAATCACTTGGCATATGAATAGTTTAAAAATATTTTCTGCCATTCAATAGGTTGTTTCTTCACTCTATTGATTCTTTCCTTTGCTGTGAAGAAGATTTTTTGTTTAACATAACTCTATTTGCCTATTTTTGTTACCTTTGCTTTTGAGGTCTTAGCCATAAAGATCTGTGCTTAGACAGATGTCTTGTAGTGTTTCCTAAATGTTTTCTTCAAATAGCTTCATTTTTTCAGATCTTATACTTAAGCCATCTTCAGTTTATTTTTGTCTGTAAGGAGAGACAGGGGTCCAGTTTCATTCTGTAATGTGCCATGGAGAAGACCTTTTTGAATTGTATGTGCTTAGGAATATTTGAGCTTCCTATATCTGGATGTATGAATCTCTTGCTAGACTGGGGAAGAAGTTTTCAGCTATGATTTTATTAAATAGGTTGTCTATTTCTTTGGTTTTCTCTTCACCTTTTGGGACATTGGAAATTCAAATATTTGGTTGCTTTGTGTTGTTCTATATGTCATGTAGGCTTTCTTCATTTTATTTTTATTTTTTTTCCTTTATTTTTGTCTTACTGACTTATTTCAAAAGGTCTGTCTTCAAGTTCTGAAATTCTTTTTTCCACTTGATCTAGTCTACTGTTGAGCTCTCATATGTGTTTTTTATTGCATTCAATGGACTTTTCAGTTCCAGGATTTTTTTTAATGATATCTATTTCCTCTGTGGATTTCTCATTCATAGCCTACATTGTTTTTCTAATTTGTTTGCATTATTTGTGTTCTCTCCCATCTTACTGAGCTTTTAAAATATTATTTTTGGTTATATTTTCTCAACATTTCATAAATTTATTTTTCATAGGAATCTGTTGCTAGATAATTATTGTACTCCTTTGGAGGTATCATATTTCCTTGTTTTTTCATGTTTCTTGTGTCCTCACATTAATTTCTACACATCTGATGTAACAATTGCTTCTTCCAAGTTTTTGAATTTCTTTTCATAGGAGAGGACTTTTTCATAAAGTTGTACCTATACTGTTGCTTGGGTAAGACATTTTGGCTTTTATTCTGGGTGCATACACTAGTGCAGTCTCCACATAATTTCTTCTGATGTAAACAGTATCAGTGGTGTCTCTGATTTCCTCAGTTGCTCAGGGTGCAGTTCTTCATGGAGGCTGTGGTGAAGTTGTTGCTGTGGATGGGGATGCCAGGTGGACCAGTCCACAGGCCCCTGTGGTAGCAGCAGTGGGCCAAGCATGCCTGTCCTTGGGCTTGAGGATGGCATATGTTGGCACTGGTGTTAGTGGATCCAGGTGGGCCAATTATTGGGCCTCCAAGTGACTTGCTTGGGTGCTGGCAGTGGCAGTAGTGGGCCAGGAAGTTGTATGGGTCCTGGGATCCCTGGGATCCCTGGGCAGCAGGCATGGTGTAGGCGATAGCTGTAGCAGTAATGAGACAACTCTCTGGCTCCCAGTCCATGTTAATATTGGTGCTGGCTGTGATGAGCTGGGCAGACCAGTCCCTGGGCCCACAGATGGCATATGCAGGGGAGTGCCAGCTGTGGGGGTAGCATCAGGCTGCCTGAGCCCCAGGAAGAGTGCTCAAGTGCCAAAGATGGTGAATGGTGCACGGTGATCCCCAAGTCCATAGTTAGTGTGCTTGGGCACTGGTGGGGGCAAAGCTAGGCCAGGAAGACCTGTCCTCAGGCTCCCTGGTGGTACATATAGGTGCTGGCTGTAGTCGTCTGGTCTGGGGTGATGCCCAGGCCCTGGTTATGGAGGTCATGGGTGTGGCCCTGCTGCTGGGGAGGGCAGGTTTGCTTTCAGCAGCTGTAGGCAGACAGCTGGTGAGTATGTGATTCAGCCTCAGGTGGCAGGTGCAGAAGGTGGCATTTGTTCCTCGAGGCACTTGTTCATGAACAGTAATCCCCCTACTTGGCTGCTTGGCAGGGGAGGGTCCCTGCCGGTGGCTCATGCTTTGGCCCAAGTGGCAGCAGTCAGCAGCAGTGGTAGCTACATGTTGAGGATGTCACTGTGGCTCCAGGGATGTGGAGATGTGTAGTCTGTTGAGTCCCAAGGCACTGTGCAGTTTAGTGGGGGCTGGACTCTTGAAATGGCACTGTGCTGTAGCTGCTTAATGTTAATAAACATCTCAGGGGATGTGTGGGACCCAGTGTGAGCTTCCTCTCTTGACGAACACTGTTGTGCAGTCTGCAGGCAGTTTCCTGTGTTAGTCTCAGGGTCCGCAAGAGTTGAAGGGCTCTCCCTTGGCTGGGATTGAAAGAGTTCGTGGTGGACTGCTGCAAATTGTTCACTTAACTCCTTCCCCACACTGGGGAGACTCTCTGGGGCTCCAGGTGATCCTGGCTGGGCAGGCTGACTCACTTCCCTCTCCTTTGTCGCTTTAGGGTTTTCTGTCACTCTGCTGTTGAATTCAAGTGTTCTGTCTTAGATGATCTATTCAAAGTATGAATATCTACTCACTACATTGTGTGTGTGTGTGTGTGTGTGTGTGTGTGTGTGTGTGTGTGTGTGGAGGTGACTGCCAGATACCTTAGCCAGCCATCTTGAAGCTAAAAAATGTATAATCGTCTTAACAAAAACAGAAAATGTAATTGAAAAAAATATAACATCAATTTCTGATAAAAACTCAGTAATCTGAGAATAGTAGAACATTTCCTAAGCCATCATGTTTAGGATATACTGCACATACGAAAGATGCATATGACAAATTGTGATATAGGGCACATGTGAAAAATGTCCATCTCATATTTTATTTAGTGATCATAGTCTAAATTATTTTATTTTTAGACTGAGAACAAGGAAAGAATGTCTACTCCTGCTTCTTCACTATTGTACTAGTAATTTTAGCCATTGGGGGAAAAAACGAGAAAGAAAGAAAATGCTAAAATAAAACTGTCTCATTATAGATGACATGATCATCTGTGTGTAAAATACTACAGAATCTACAGAAGAAGCTAGTATAACTAATAAGGGAGCATGGCAAGTTTGTAAAATAGATCAATTACAAATGGTATTTCTATATGCTAGCAATGAGTATATAATATAGCATGTAATAAAATTCATCACTTACAATAGCATTAACATGCAATAATTATGGTTAAATTTGACAATATGACAAAATATGCATGAAACTCACAGAATAAAATCTACGCAACATTCCTGAGAGTTATTAAAGAAGGCCTAAATAAATGCAGAGATACACTTTGTTCATGGCTCAAGAGACTCACAAAGACATCAATTTGAAAATTAATCTATAGATTCAATGAAATGACAATCAAATCCCTAGCAGGCTTTTCTTTGTGTAGAAATTGATGAGCTGGTCCTAAAGTTTTCATACAAATGCAAAGGACTAGTAGAGACTAAATATCTTTGGAAAAAAAACACATTTATCTGGCTTATTTGGCTGATTTTCAAATTTATTATCATGCTATCATTATCAAGATAGTATAGTATTGGACTAAAGATAGTCAAATTGATTATTGGAAGATAATAGTTTCCAGAAATGGACCCTCTCATATATAGTTAAATAATTTTAACAAATATTTAAAGGAAACCCATTGAATAAAGGAAAGGGTTTTTCATATATAAATGAAACAACTGACTAGTTTCATTTAAAAAATAAAGTTTTATCCATACCTCACAGCGTGTTTCAAAAATTATCTCAAAATAAACCATAAACCTAGGTATAAAAGCTAAAATTACAAAACTTCTAGAGAAAAACTTATGTGAAAATATTTATGCCTTGGGCTACAATGATGTAAGAAGTAGGGTGGAAAACCAAAGCAAACCAAATTATTGTAATGAAGATAGAGAAAATCTAGAATGTATTAAGAATCCTTAAGAAAACAGAAAAAAAACTTATTTGAAAAATTGGAAAAAAATATGAATAGTCATTTTGAAATAGAGGAAATCCAAATACTAATGGAAATCTAGACAAATAATTAATTAATAAGGAACTGCAAACTAAAGAATGGATAGTATACTTGAACACCTATTAGATTAGTAAAAAATTAGAAAGCCAATTTCAAGTTTTGATAAGAATATAGAATAAAGAGAACTTGCATATACTCTACTAAGAATGCAAATTGATACTTCCATCATTGAAAGTAACTTAGTATTATCTGATGAAGTTGACCATGTACTGAATACTTCTTCAGTCTTAATGATTTGTATCCCTACATGTATAGCCTAAGGTATTCTTATGCATACTGGCATCAGAATAGAATTACCAGAATGTTTATTGAACACTAGCTGCATGTTTTTGTAATAGCTACAAAACTGGACACAATCTAACAAGGTATCAAAAATAGAATGCATACTTAAATAATTATGGAATATTCATGTAATATTCTAAAAAATGCATATGTAAATGATTATGGAGTATTCACATACAATAATATTCTAAAAAATGGATTCCATTCCTATAAGGTGAGATTAGTAAACTGTTTTTTGCAGATTGGCTGCCTATTTTTGTAGATAAAATTCAGTGTTATTGAAAGACAGGCATGGATATTTATTTGCATATTGTCTTTGGCTACTCTCAGGCTACCAAAAGCAAAGTTGAGCAGGTGTGACAGAGAACTATGGTGCATAATTTTAAAATACTTTCTGACCTTTCTGGACAAAGTTTGCCTATCTTAGAATAAAATTCAAAAGCAGGTAAAACTATACCGTATTTTTACAGATACAAACATATTTGGTAAAATTATCAATAAAATAAGGGAATTATAACAAAAGTTTCAGAGCATGAAAAGAGGTTTTGGGTGGCAAAAAACTCGATAGGCAATTCTACTATTAAAATTAAAATTCAAAGCTAGTGATATTCAATTTCTTGACCTATGTTTTCCTTAGAATTACTTGTAAAACATTCTCTGTATGTTTTGACATGCTTTTCAAAATATAGGCTACTTTTTTGGGGGAATCTTTTACTCTGTTATCTTTGTTACATATATTCTATAATTTAAGAATTATACCTCCTTTGAAGTTTTGAAGAACTTCCAAGAAAAGTGTGTGTGTACTACTCACTCAACTCCTTTAGTAGTAGCAGATCTATCATATTTTCTATTTCTTCTTTATATTTTTTCCAAGTTATGTTTTAAAATAAATTTGTCTATATACATATAAATAAATTATTAGCATAAAATTTCTCATAGAATTCTAAGGATATTTTTAAAATCCTAAATCTTTCATTAAATTAATTTATTTATAAATTGATTTGTTGTAACATTGTATGGTAGATACACAGTAGAGACTAGCACAAGTATCATGTTTCTTATCAATCTACTTAGAAAATAGAATATTATTGGTATCTTTGAGGTATCATGTACTCCTGTATTGTTGTAACAGTCTTTAACCCCGAAATAACCAATATCCTGAATTTTGTATTCATCACTTTTCATACTTCATGCTTCTTGCTCATTTTGTTTACCATAGGTGTTTCTTTACCGAAGAATATATTAGTTGGTTTTACTCACAATAAAAATTTACATAAATAGAAACATATTATTTGTATATCACTGTGACCTGATATTTTCTCAAAATTATTTCTGAAACCTATTGATACATATAGCTGTAATTCATGTATTTTCTCTGACACAGAGTGAAAAATTTTATGAATATACCATACTTTGTTCATTCTGGTATGTATGACCAATTTTGTTACTAAGGCTATAATTATTTTCAGCACTGTTATAAACATCCCTTGGTATGCAAATAGAAGAGACATTTTAGTACAATATCGTACAATATTTTTCCAGAAGGTTAAAACTCATTAGTGGCCTGTGGAAATAACTTAGTGAATTGCAACCATTATTTAAAAATAGAACAAAATAGAAGACAGTATAATTAAAAAGAAATATATGGTGTGCTGCAATAGTAAGTGTTCAAATGCATATATGTGCACTTATACAAATTGTATATGTATGTCATTGTATATGTATATTATTATATATGTGTGCTGGCTTAGATTTTAAAATGTATTTTCTACTGATGATTACTGTAGATTGCAGTCAAAAATTTTTGTTTGTCTGTTTTTGTTTTTGAGACTGAGTCTTGCTCTGTCATCCAGGCTGGAGAAGAGTGGTGTGATCTTGGCTTACTGGAACCTCCACCTCCTGAAATCAAGCGATTCTCCTGCCTCAGTCTCCCAAATAGCTGGGATTACAGGCGTACGCTACCATGCCTGGCTAATTTTTTGTATTTTTAGTAGAGACAGGGTTTCACCATGTTGGCCAGGCTGGTCTCAAACTCCCAACCTCAGGTGATCCTCCCACCTCGGCCTCCCAAAGTGATGGGATTACAGGCGTGAGCCACCACGCCTAGCCAAAAAGTGTTAAAGTCACAAGAAGTGCTTGGTCAGGGATATATATGCATGTCTTCAATTTTAAATGGAATGACAGTGTTTCTAATAGTGTTATTCAAATGATAGGATTCATTATATGGAACATCTAATTAATAAAACATAATCCTACCTTTAAGGATATTATAGTCTCAGTAAAAATATTTTAGATCAATATATTCAACCTGGACCACCTTTTCTGAGTGCCAGATTTTACATCTCATCATCTACTCCTTTTTGAAGATAAGTTTGGTTTCTGGCACATACTGATTACGTTTTAGTGGATTGTTGAGTGAATGGATAAAGGATAAAAATGAAAAACATTCCAATAATATAGGATAGCATTTGCTGCATTTTTTGAGTGGCTCAGACATAATGTTATAGAGGGAGGAAGAATAGATCACATCATGTCTGTAAATGAGAGATGTGCTGAGATTTCACTGAAGAAATAGAAATTACGATTTCATGTCTTTCCTGCTTGCATGTTATTTTATTGCCAGATCAACCACCATGTAGAATCCAGTTTCAAGCAAAGTTTAGAGTACAGGCATTTATTTCCAGGTGGCACAAACCTACTGTATAATCTAGGCAAGGCAAGCCATTTTATTTACATAAACTTTTACCCATTTTGTAAGCACTAAGAAATAACTGACCCAACATTATTTTATCCTACCTCCAACTCTTGTAATACCATTAGTATACAAGCTTATTATGTCTCCCTTACTCACATTAAAAAAAAAAAAAGAAGCTACATATAAAATCTTCTTTAACAATGATTTTTACTAGCTTGAAATTTTGGCTGGAGTGCAATACTGCAGATCTTCACCTACAGAGTGCCTGAGTTAATTGAAGATCATATTTTATTTTTTGCCTACCTATAGATGAGAATTTATTTTTGCAATTTCCTTGTTTGAACGTGTCTTCATTGGATTTTAAAGGTTTACAAATATGCTCTGACCAAGTGAAATTTAGTCTGTTAATCCCAACTTTCTTGGTCAATATCATGAACACTTGCTGACACTGTACATGTAAATGTTTCCAGTTCAGTTTTTGATGCTTTCTCATCCTACATCTAAGACCAAAGTTCTGTTAAAATAGAAGTTGTTCTCTCTAAATCCATCCATTTAGCTTAGTGGCTATATACTTGATATAGAATACTCCAAAAAATAGTAGGTGTCTTTATCATATTTCATTTTTTTCTACTTTTCAAATTATGGTTTTTTTTCTCACATTGGCCTGTATGCCTGCTGGAAGTCTAATACGACAGCATGAATTTTAAGAATAATCGTACCCTTTATTAACAAATTAAGTACAGATTTTTTTATAGATAAATGAATAAACGGGCTAGTTTTATTTTTACTCAAGCCACTTTTAGAATAATGTAACTGGTTGTAACTCTACACCACAAGAAAGATACAACATAGATGGATAAAGAATCCCATGATAGACTGGGTACAGCAATGGTGAATCTGGTGACCTAAAATAATATCTTTTTTTTAATTGATCAACTGTTTTATTTAGGTAATGATGATGCAAAATTCCTTAGATTTGTGGAAAAGGAAGATAATTGACATGTATTGAGTGCTCAAGATAAATAAAAAAAGAGAGAGAATGTTAACATTAAACTGCAAATCTCACAGCTAGGATATTCCAGATACTTGAGTAAAACTGAAACCTGAATAAATCCAAAACCTATATGCCTTTTCTATTTCTTCTACTAATTCTTCTTTGTTTAGTTACCCTGAATTCATATTCTGAAACATGTTTTTTGATTTTTCTATCTCACTACAGTAATTTATTCCCCTGCCTTGCTTTCTTTACATATTTTTGTTTTTTAAAAAACAGATTTGGCCAGGTGTGGTGGCTCACACCTGTAATCCCAGCACTTTGGGAGGCCAAGGCGGGCAGATCACAAGATCAGGAGATCGAGACCATCCTGGCTAACACGGTGAAACCCCATCTCTACTAAAAATACAAAAACAAAACAAAATTAGCCGGGCGTGGTGGCGGGTGCCTGTAGTCCCCAGCTATTCAGGAGGCTGAGGCAGGAGAATGGCAGGAACCCGGGAGGAGGAGCTTGCAGTGAGCTGAGATCGCGCCACCGCACTCCAGCCTGGGCAACAGAACGAGACTCCATCTCAAAAAAAAAAAAAAAACAAAAAACAAAAAAACAAACAGATCTATGTGTTCATCTGTCAGCTGGATGAATTTCAATTATGATGTTCATAGGTGAAATTCTCATTTAATGACCTTTATTTTTACTAATTAAATCACATGAAAAAAATACATTGTATTGGAATTCTGTGCCAGAATCTTTACCTATAAAAATGGCACAGAGCTGGCTATGGTCTACCTAAGCAGATTAGAGACAACAGTCTGGATCAACCCTGAGTAGCTGCATTTTACATTTGCCACTCCAACTGGGTTGACAAATAAGTAGCAGTTTTTTCCACTTGCAAGTTACAACTGAAGAGTACATTATAAAATTATTTTTGTAGGACATTACCAGCATTTTAAAATGAAATGAAAGAGAATAAACTAGATCAGAGGACAATAAAATAGAACAGGAAATCTCAGAATGCGTTATATAAATATTTAATGAAGTACACAGATAAGGGATATACTGAGTCATCACCAGACAACTCTTTGAAATTTCCTATGTCCTATCTTTTCATGCTGTGTTTTATTTCGCTGCCAGATCAACCTCCATGCACAGCCTATTTCTTATGTCCTCCTTAACCACTCAGCTTCCCATGGCAGACATCGCCAGTGTATCCCAGAAGTCTTTCCTGATGAATCTAGAGGAGATTTAAAATTATTCTTTTCAGGGCTTCATGCCAATACTTACAAATTTACAATTTCTGGTGTTCTAAGCTGTCATTTATCAACTGTGTCAAGGTAGTAGAAGAGTAGAAATCAGGTCTCAACCCTAGCCCAAACTCATGTTTACATGATTATGGAGGCGAATGCTAGCTGTATCTCTGTGTCCAATTGTTGATGATCTGCCTATATCCAGACCACATGTTAATGCTTTCAGTACTTTCCCACGAAGACTATTTTACAAAATCTCTAATTGTTAGAATTAAATACACTCTGTGAAACAGAAAATGTTTCTTGCTGGAACAAAAAATGTAATATTTTTGGAGCAGATATTTAATTGTAGAGTTCCTGATATTTGAAGTTTAGGGTGGAGATGATATGTACCTAAATGTTTTATTTTCTTTTGTTTGCCTGTGCACCATTTTAAGATCTTTTTCAATATTTTGGAATATTGCTTCTGTGTCTGAAATAGGGCCCTACCTCTTTTTATAGAATTCCTGAATCTAGACCCTTAGTCCTGATTTCTGAAAGGTAAAGTTCCCATAGAAATCTAACTCAAATTGGCCGGGCGCGGTGGCTCAGGCCTGTAATCCCAGCACTCTGGGAGGCCGAGGCGGGCGGATCATGAGGTCAGGAGATAAGAGACCACCCCGGCTAACACGGTGAAACCCTGTCTGTGCTAAAAAAAAAAAAAAAAAAAAAAAAAGCAAAAAATTAGCTGGGCGTGGTGGCGGGCACCTGTAGTCCCAGCTATTCAGGAGGCTGAGGCAGGAGAACGGCGTGAACCCAGAAGGCAGAGCTTGCCAGTGAGCCGAGATCGCGCCACTGCACTCCAGCCTGGGCGACAGAGAGAGACTCCATCTCAAAAAAAAAAAAAAAAAAAAAAAAAAAAGACAAACTCAAATTTACTTACCTGGATACATGCTTCACTAGAAGTTTGCAGTCTCAGAGCAGCACAGAACCATAGGGGCACTTAATATCTCTCTCCCTCTCTCTCTTCCTCCCTCCCTCCCTGCCTCCCTTCCTTCCTCCCTTCCTTCCTTCCTTCTTGCCTTCCTTCTTCCTTGCTTCCTTCCTTTCTCCCTTTCTTTCTTCCTTTCTTTTCTTCTCTACCTCTCTCTATTATCTATCAGAATTTGTTTAAAGTGTTATTGTAGAACACTAAATTCAGAACTGTGTACCCAATGCATAACTAATGGCACACAATGACACACTGTTGCTTGGAGATACAGAAAAGTTTATTTAATTTAACCAAAGCGTGAAGGCAGAAGAGTAAGCTCCCTGAAATCCACCTTAAAAACAAACAAACAAACAGCAACAACAAAAACAGAAAGTTTTTATATGGTTAGAGAGTAAGGAGGGGAAGTTTCAAGGAACTGAGGGAAGAAGTCTGTGCTTCTTCAATCTCAGATAACACCTTGAGCAACTAGACTTCTGAGAGTGAGCAGCCGTTTGCAATGTCTATAAATGCATTCATTCCTTCAGAAAAAACATTTTGTAACTCTGAACTTTTTTCTCCTCCTTGACAAAGAAACAATACATCAGCAGTTTATAATTATATTATGGTAACAGGAGATGTTGGCTTTTGTGCAAGCAGGCAAGGGCCCGATCAGAATTTTTATTATTTCTGTCACAAAAAATGTTGGGGTGCTGAAAGCTCAAGGGGCCTGTCTTTATCTATTACTCATTAATGTAGAAAAAAGGGTGTCATTTTTTTCTGGCTAATTCCTGCTGATAAGGGGTAAAGATGAGGGAAATTGATAAACATAACCTATCCACCTGAATTTGAAAATATTCACAGGTGCTGGGCCAGTACCCTGCACATTGCAATACCATTATCTGAGTACTCTTATCTATAGTCTTAGAGAAGCACCTTAAATCACATTTGATGATGACATTAATAAAGAAATAAGCTTCAATAATAATTAATAAGAGGCCAGGTGAGGTGGCTCCCACCTGTTATCCCAGCACTTTGGAGGCTGAAGCGGGTGGATCACCTGAGGTCAGGAGTTCAAGACCAGCCTGGCCAACATGGTGAAATCCCATCTCTACTCAAAATACAAAAATTAGCCAGGTGTGGTGGTGGTATGACCTGTAATCCCAGCTACTCGGGAGGCTGAGGCAGGAGAATCACTTGAACCCAAGAGGCAGAGTTTGCAGTGAGCTGAGATCACTCCACTGCACACCAGCCTGGCAGCCTGGGCAACAGAGCGAGACTCTGGCTCAAAACAAAACACAACAGCACACACACACACACAAAATAGCTGGGCGTAGTGGCAGGCACCTGTAATCCCAGCTACTTGGGAGGCTGAAGCAGGAGAATCACTTGAACCCGGGAGGCGGAGGTTGCAGTGAGCCGAGATTGCACCACTGCACTCCAGCCTAAGCAACAAGAGTGAAACTCCATCTCAAAAAATAATAGTAAATACTGAATAATAATAATTAATAAGAGAGGTAAGCCAAATTTAAAGATGCCAGAAAATACAAATCAGATCCCTGTGGGATCCAACAAAATAATCCAGAAAACCAATCACCTAATCCTGCTTCATCATTTACTTGTTTTAACCATGAAGCTTGTTTTCTTATTTTATCTATATGCATTTTAACTTTGGCTGAGTTGTTAATCTAAGTGCAGCAGGAAGAGTTTGGTATTACACCTACTCCATCTTGTTCAGCCAGCAGGTAATCTAATGCTATGCAATTATCCAAAACAACTTCAACTAGAGAATCCAAAGACTTTTGCTATGCTGCAATAGCAGCAGCAGTTTCGTCAGATATAGTCCTTAAAGTGTTAGATAAGTTTCTAAAAACATGTTGATGAGAAGCCACCCTCATCATAGGAGCAAAGTGTGTCCAAAGAAGTACCCTGGGCCAGCAGGAATCCTCCTGAAAATTTTTTTTCGGGGACCACCCCCATGGAGTCTTCTTCCAAAATTCCTTGAGACCCTGGAAAAGTTTTAAGGAACTTCTCTAGTATTATATTACTGTGTTCTGATAATGGCGTAAATGAGTATCCCAATAAACATTGTCCATGATCTCCTCCCTTAAAGCACCTATAGGTCCAAGGATGGGTTTCCTGACTGCAGACAGAAAAACATCCCACAGGAGCACAGGTCATGGTGTCAATAGTTGTGGCTGTTATTAAAGCCATTTAATCTACCCACGGACCTGTTATGCTGTTGTCACACTCAGGTAAGGCTGGGCCTATCCAATATCCTTCCCATGCTGCAAAACTGGGGTCAAATGAAGTTCTTTGCAAATCATCATCCAATGAGAATTTTCATATGACATACTTTAAGAATGAAAGGGGACATCTCTGTCAAGAAGCCAAATACAAACAAGGGTGTTTGGTAGCTCCATGAATGAGTCAGATGAGGCATACTTGATACTCCACACTTTGGGGAGTCTTTGGGTACTCAAATGTGCAGATACAGATATTTGAAACATTATAAGCTGTCTGCATCAGAGAGTCATAATGGTCTAGAACAGATGAGGTTTAGGTTGACATATCCAATACCAAAATAAGTTAGCAGAAGAATCTAGAGGTTGGGAAATCCATAACAATGAATTGTGCTTCCATGAAAAAGAAGAAATCAAGGCATTCATGACCCAAACTATAAAGACCCAATTCATTTTGCTTTTCTGTCAGTAGACCTGGCTTGAAACAGCAACCCAAGACGCTCCCGTAGCCAAGGCTTTTCTTTTCCTGTTCAAGTTTGTAGGGACAAGTTTTATTCGAGGGTGATGGATCCAAAATTCTATTCTGGCTAGCATGGCTGACAAGTGGGGAGTCGGTAGTACTCCTTAGGGAGCAGTTTATTGGGGGGATGAGGTGGTCCCCTGGCCTGCACTCTGTCCACAACTTGAGAAGGACCTGGTCACCCACTTTAAAGTGATGGAGGGGCACGTCTGTTGGAATCAGTAGGCTGTTAGAAGCAAGTTTATAAACAAAGGTTAGAACTCCATTTAAGATCTTTAAATACTGTTTAATTGCTATCTGTTTTTGTTATACCAGGCACTTTTCCTTTAGCAAGGCCAGGAATGGTTTTCCATACATTGTTTTAAAGCAGCTCAGTTGGAGCTTACTTTGGGCCACTACCCAGATACACATCAGGGAAGGGCATAACACCTTATTCAAGGTTAAACTGGTTTCTTGACAGATTTTTGCAATCATTTTCTTCAAGGTGTGATTTAATCTTTTCCATCTTTCCAGTGGACTCTGCTCACCATAGGGCAGTTTTCAATTTATTATCAAAACATTTGACACTTCCTAAGTTAACTTGGAAGTAAATGTGGACATATTATCACTCTGAATTGTTACAGAAAGTCCATACATAAGGATTATTTCTTTAAGTAGGGCTTTAGCCACTTCTGTGGCCTTCTCTGTTCTGCAGGGAATGGCTTCAAACCACCCAGTGAAGCCATCAACAAATACCAAAAGGGACCTGATGTTTCCACATGCTCAGAGCATCACAGTGAAGTCCACCTAAAAATCCCTGGAAGGGGCTAATTTCTTTTATTGGAACCCTTTTAGAGGGAATGGCCATGCCTGAGGGCTCTTTTCAGCACAAATTACACACTGTTGAATCATCTTTCAGACAGTCTGTTGTAAACTAGGGCTAATGAATTGTTTTTTTTAAGACAAAGTCTCACTCAAGTCTCCCAGGCTGGAGTGCAACAGCGCGATCTCGGTTCACTGCAACTTCCGCCTCCTGGGTTCAAGCGATTCTCCAGCCTCAGCCTCCTGAATAGCTGGGATTACAGGCACCTGCCATCACACCCGGCTACTTTTTGTATTTTTACCATAGAGTTTCACCATATTGGCCAGGCTGGTCTCAAACTCCTAACCTCAGGTGATCCATGCACCTCGACCTCCCAAAGTGCTGGGATTACAGGTGTGAGCCACCGTGCCTGGCCTAATTAAATGTTTTTAAATCCACTGCAAGGTGGCATTCCTCCCATAATCATGGGTTTAATGAATTTGACTTATGATTTCCTTTGAGAGGACCTTGGGCACCAGTGATAACCTGTGAACTGTATTTCCAGCCAAGATGAACTGGAGTGGAAGACTCAAGAAACAATTCTTTGGCTAGTATTAAATCCTTTTGGTTATATTGAAGCTGAAAAATGACCAAGTCTATTTGGGAAATTAAGGGTTCCAGAAGGGTTTTGAATCTCTGAGTCTTTCCCACAGCCTTAGCTACTTGATCTGCAGCTTTGTTGATTTCTTTTTGCTATTAGGGAATTTCCCTTCTTGTGCCTGGAGTAGTGCATAACAGCTACTTCCTTAGGGTTGTTCACAGATTTCAATAAGGTCAAAATGTCTGGCACATGTTTGATGTCTTTATTTTCAGTACTTAAAAGTAGTCTTCCTTTCCATATGGCCCTGTTTGCATGCATCACTGAGAAAGCATACTTTGTGTCTGTGTAAATACTGACAGCTTTGTCCTTACCTATTAGGAAAGCCCTGGTAAGGACTATAAGTTCAGATCTCTGAGCTGAGGTGTCCGGAGGCAAAGCCTTGGCTTCTAAGGTGACCTGCAAGGTGACAACTGCATAACCTTCTCAACGATGTCCTTGGCCCATGAAGCTACTTCCATCAGTACATATTTCCAATTCTGGTTGCTCCAGTGGTCAGCCACTCAAGTCACGGTGGCTAGAAAATATGTGTTTAATAATCTGAACATTTAGTGGAGCAAGTAAATCTCAACCCAGAAGGAGAACAGAACATTCAGGCATAAATAAAAAACTATGCTTTAGGCTTGTTTCTCAGAGATGACAATCTAAAGATTGCAGGAAGGGGCAAGTCACAGTTCCCCTGACATTCTTGTAACCACCATAGTCTCTTTTGAATCAGGGAACAAGTGGGTGTTAACTACAAATGATGTGGCCCCTGTATTAATAAGAAAGTCAATCAGTTTGTTTCCTACTCTCAATTACAAGAGCTCTTGTGTGGATATGACACTGATCGCTTCAGATCTAATGGAGCCCTGGGGCCTCTTCTTTCTTCAGCTGTATCTCTCTCCTTCACTTCTGCCATCCGGGCTGAGGGAATCTTACTTTTCTTTTTTCCTTCACCAATTTGGGATAATCCTTTGTACAATGTCCTTCTTCTTTGCAATATAAACATTGATTCTTTCCTCAAGGAGGGGGCGTTCCTCTTACCTTCCATCATCCTTCTTTTAACCTCTTTCCTATCTTCCTATCAGCTCAGCAGTAGAGTGCTATTACTTCACCTTTCTTTTCCTTTCACTTCACCTTTATTGTTGTAAACCTTAGAAACAAGCTCCACCAAATACGAGATTGACAGCTCAAGGATGTCATCTACCTTCTGTAACTTCCTTTTGATATCTGGGGAACTTAAGCTGACAGTTATTCTCTGACCCTCAGAGGCCTTGATATTGGCATCAGTTTATTTTCTATATACATAATTATTCTAAAAACTGAGAGGTGCTCTCCTGGGATTGTTGCTCAACCTCCTGAACTTACTGAGGCTTTTCAATTGTAGGAGTCCTTTCCTTAATCTTTCCAGAATACAATTAATATAATGCTTAAGCCAGTATGTGTTGTGGGAAGTCAGGGACCCCGAACGGACGGACCAGCTGGAGCTGTGGCAGAGGAACATAAATTGTGAAGATTTCATGGACATTTATCTGTTCCCAAAATTAATACTTTTATAATTTCTTATGCCTGTCTTTACTGCAATGTCTGAACATAAATTGTGAAGTTTTCATGGACATTTATCACTTCTCTAATAATACTCTTATAATTTCTTATGCCTGTCTTACTTTTACCTCTTAATCCTGTTGTCTTCGTAAGCTCAGGACCTCAGGACCCTGTGATGATTGCATTAATTGTACAGATTGATTGTAAAACATGTGTGTTTGAACAATATGAAATCAATGCACCTTGAAAATGAACAGAATAACAGTGATTTTAGGGAACAAGGGAAGACAACAAAAGGTCTGACTGCCTGTGGAGTCGGGCAAAAAGAGCCATATTTTTCTTCTTGTAGAGAGCCTATAAACAGACATGCAAGTAGGAGAGATATTGCTAAATTCTTTTCCTAGCAAGGAATATAATATTAAGACCCTAGGAAAAGAATTGCATTCCTGGGGGGAGGTCTATAAACGGTCGCTCTGGGAGTGTCTGTCCTGTGCGGTTGAGATAAGGACTGAGATACGTCCTGGTCTCCTGCAGTACACTCAGGCTTACTAGGATCGGGAACCCCCAGCCCTGGTAAATTTGAGGTCAGACCGGTTCTCTGCTCTCGAACCCTGTTTTCTGTTGAGATGTTTATCAAGACAATACATGCACCACTGAACATAGACCCTTATCAGGAGTTCTGATTTTGTCCTTGCCCTATTTCCTCAGAAGCATGTGATCTTTGCTCTGCCTTTTGCCCCTTAAAGCATGTGACCTACCCCCTGTTCATACACCCCCTCCCCTTTTGAAATCCTTAATAAAAACTTGCTGGTTTTGCGGCTCAGGTGGGAATCACAGACCTACCGATATGTGATGTCACCCCCGGTGGCACAGCTGTAAAATTCCTCTCTTTGTACTCTTTCTCTTTATTTCTCAGACTGGCTGACACTTAGGGAAAATAGAAAGAACCTACACTGAAAGATTGGGGGCAGGTTCCCCCGATAAGTACAGGTCCCCATTGTTCACATCCCAACTTGGTTCAACCATAGGAATAGCATCAGAAGATTCAGGGCAGTTGTTCCCACCCTCAGGATAAAGCCAATGGACTTCTGCTCTTGCTTTTTCAATAACCATATGGTGTCCTACAGCCACGAGCAAAACATTCATTAAAGCCTATCAGCTCAGGTAGGGTAATATGTCAAAAAGGTGAAGGAAACACAACTTGGCCATGAATCTAGGGTCATGCCAATAAAAAAGTTTATTATTTTTTTCAATTAAATAAATCCATGTGGGGAATGGGCACTGTGTCCACATCATACCTATAGGCTGTCCATTGGAATTTAGCCCTCCATGTGGGAATTGGCAAAGTGGAAACTGCCCTGCCCGAGGAGTCCCAGCCCTCAGGCCAAATTGGATACCCTGTCAAGTACAGAATGGTGAGATTATATCCTTACTTCCTGACTTTCTTCCATCAGGGGAGCTTGTCCCATTCTGCACCCCATCCCCCATATCAAATCTGGGTCTACTGGAAAAGGAGGTAGTGGTTCAGGTGCAAATTGAATTGGCATCAACTGAGAGGGTGATCTGGCCCCAGTGGTGGTTCATTGGCATGGCAGGAGGGTTCAAAACATTGATCAAGACATTATTCTCCTCATCTAGTATTTGAGATTCTAATATTTTTGACTTGAGTTTCTCACCCCTTGCACCATCAAATTGAACATTCTCTGTGTGGACTCATTCTGAAGCAGTAACATAAAAGCTGCATATATGGAATTTTATTTCATTTTCTTTTCCTATTATGAAATGGTTCTAAATCACATAATAACATAGTTAAGAGATCCATTGATGGTCCATGTTTATCTCACCAACAACTTAAAAATTAGCCTATTTATCCAACATTTAATTGGAAAGCAATGTGGCTTATTTAATTTATGAACACTCCTTTAATAATAAACCAATGTGGTACCATATAGACACAATATATAGGACAATATATGTACATACACATGAAAACATGTAAACATATATTCACACACATATAAACAAGGATCCAATAGCTTTTTCCTCAGGACTCTAGCCATGAGATAGCAGCACAGTATCCCCAGTTTACAAAAATTCGCTAGATCCAAATAATTTCTGATGAAATTAGAACCTGTTCATATGGCTAAACTTTATTTGCCCTCACAGATAATCAAATGACGGCTGTGAGACAAAAATTTAGGCAAAACCGTTTCCATGACAGGTTGATTTTAGAAACCTATTTTACCCTTTTTTTTCCCTTCAGTTTCAAATGAGTTTCAATCTTTCATTTTGGGGAGAACTGTATAAGAGAAACAGAATCTCCAAGTAGTCTTGAATTAGCAGTTAGCAGTATCAGAAAATAGTGAGTTTTATCTCAATACCAGTAGCCAGTAACAGCAGATTCGAAGCAGGCAGAAAAATAAAAGAGAGAAACAGGGAGATTTAGAAGACTCTACAGTTTAACACTACAGTTGCAAGTTGACCATTTGAGTTCTGAATTTTCTTTTGCTATAATTTGCCTACCTACTTAATATGTGCACAAGCATGGGCCATAATATGTAACCACCTGGAGTTGTAGAAGACCTGGCATGCCTTTGAACTTTCCCATAGCTCAAACACGTAAGCCAGAGGAGTTCCTGTGATTAGTGAGTAAGTTACGCATTGCGCTGATCTGATGAAGATGTCTTTTCCTGTACTGTTAGTGTGAGCATCCCCATAAAACTTATGGACCAGTTGAGTCTTACCTGAACCTAGGGAATATTGTGGCAAGACTGTATTATAAAAGAAAATATTTTTTTATGCTTCGTTGGTTCCCAACTAAAAGCAATGCAGTTCTGGAGAATGTAATCCAAAGGGCTGCATTTGGGAATCAAATTAGTTCCCTTAGTTGCACACTTGCATACAAAATAAATACACACGTTTACACAAAGAATAAAATAAAATTCCTGCAGGACAAAAGGGTGGAGTCCAACAATTTCCTCAACTCTCCCAAATAAGGGTCCCTCTTTTCAACAACTAACAAAATGCAAATGGAGAGACAGAGAATCACAGCTGTGCATGTCAAAGCAACTCACCCAGCAGAGGCAAAACTGAAAGCAGACTGAAGTCTGGCACGTATCTCCACTCCAAGTGATTGTTGTCCTGAAGGTTGTTGGCACCAGCAAGAAGGGAAGTGATGAGAAGTGTTTCCCGGGCAAAACTCCAGAACAGCAGCAGGGATGCCCTGTGTGCTCAGATCCTGCTGGTGCTATTCACCTATGAGGACAATATCCTACCATGGTCACCAGAACTGTTGAAGAACCCAAAATATAGGCTCGTGTATCAAACACACAGCTAATACTAAACACTGACACACCAATACCTGAAGATAAAGGTTTATTCAATTTTGCCAAAGCAGGAGAGCAAGATCCCTTAAATCCATCTTAACGCAAAGAAGCTAGCCAGTAAAAAGGGGAGTTTTAGGGATCCCTGGGGGAAAAGTCTGTCCTTTTCCAACTCAGATAACACCTTGAGCCACCAGATAACACCCTGAGCCACCTTTTCCAATTCAGATAACACCTTGAGCCACCAGATAACACCTTGAGCCACTTTTCCAATTCAGATAACACCTTGAGCCACCAGCATCAGTAGCTGGCTGCAATGTTCTTAAAGGCATTCGTTCCTTCTGCAAAAATACTATGTGACCCTTAAGTTATCTCCTCCTACTTATCAAAAAGACAGTACAACAGGAGTTTATAACAAGGGATGTTGGCCTTTGTGCAAGCAAGCAAGAGCCTAACCAAAATTTTCATTATTTCAGCCACTAAAAATGTTGGGGTACCGAAGTCTCAGAAGTCTCAGTTTCAGTAACAGTTTAGTAAAATAGAGTGGCTCTTAATGGCTTACTCAAATCTTTGGGCTCAAGTGTTTCATTCCAGGGTAGGCCTGGATAAACAATTTTTTCCTGCCTCTTTTTTTTTAAAAACAAAAAACTTGGAATGTGAACTGTAGCTTTACAACAAGTCCAATTCATTTATTTACAGTAATATCCTATGTTTCCCATACTCATCAAAATCTACAGAATTATATTCTGACTGCGTAGTATTTCCTTGAGTAAAAACACCATATTTGATTTGCTTCTCTTCAGCATTGTATACCTAGATTGATTTCAATTTTTTATAAAATACTATGTTAATGTTTACTTATATAAAAATATCAATAGTTGGCCTGGCAGGGCGGTGGCTCATGCCTATAATCCCAGCACTTTGGGAGGCCAAGGTGGGTGGATCACCTGAGCCAGGAGTTCGAGACCAGCCTGACCAACATGGTGAAACCCTGTCTCTACTAAAAAAAAAAAATTAGCCAGGCATGGTGGCTCATGCCTGTAATCCCAGCTACTAGGGAGACTAAGGCAGGAGAATCACTTGAACCCAGGAGGCAGAGGATGTAGAGAACTGAGGTGGCACCACTGCACTCCAGACTGGGCAACAGGAGCGAAACTCCATCTCAAAAAAAAAAAATGTCAATATTTGGAATAATTTTTACATAAATTTATGAGTCAAGACAAATGGATATTTTTAGGTGTACATATTACCAAGGTGTCTTTCCAAAAGGACCACCCAAAATCATCTTTATTAACAATGTATGAAAATTCATTTTCACTTTTTAAAATACTGGGCATTTATCAATATTATTAATCTTTGTGAGCCTTATAAAATAGGTTTTTGTTATTTTTTTCCATATATTTGAATAATTATGTATTTGGATCAATACTAAGTATTTGACTAACTTTAGTTCCACACATCAATTGACAGTCTATATTCTCCTTTGCAAATTGTTTTTGCTCAGGATATTCATGTTTAAAATTTTTTCTTATTTATTTGGAACAGTTCTTCACGTAGTACAGATTTTAATCCTCTGTCTTATAAGAATTTTTATGCACCTCTACAAAGGGCTTTCTACAGAATATATTGAATTAATTGTCAAACATCTGTTTAAACAATTACTACTGTAGTTAAGAATGAAGTCTTTGGAGTCAGAGATTTTGGGATTCAAATCTTGCCTCTAGTATTTATTAGTAGTATGACACCGAGAAACTTGCTTAATATGGCTTTGCCTAAGTTTATTTGTTAAAAGAAAAGAATGATTTCTAAATCACTATTGTTTTCGTAATTAAAATGAAGTAATATATATAAAGTGTTTAGTTTACAGTGTCTGGCACACTATAAATACTGAATAAATATTAGCTGTTGCAATCCTAAGTAAATCACTCAGAAGTATTTAAATACACATTACAATTGATCCACGTGAGCCCAGTCAACTTTCTCCTTGCCAGCTTCTCCCTTATTTTACTTGACTATCAGCTGTGACAGTATAGTGTTGACACTGATTCTCCCTCCATGGACTCTCTACACAGCAGAATTTGGTGATCCGTTTTAGCTGTGTGGTACTAAACACAGGTTCTATACTATATAGTTAGTAGACATTATCCAGGATATATTTTTCAGATACAGACATAAATTAATCAGGAACTCTGATAGCAGAAAACTTATGGTCTAATTTTCTACCTTTTAATTTTGTTTTAGCAATATTTTATTAAGAGTTTATTTTGGTTCTGAATTTTGGTAATTGCTCAGTACATTTTTGGAGTAAGCCTTCCTGCAAATTACAGTTATTAATTGTAGAAAATAGTAAAAAACAGCTACAACAATAATGATATGGTTTGAATGTGTGTCCCCTGCAAATCTTGTGTTGAAATGTAATCCCCAATGCTCGAAGTAGAGCCTGGCAGGAGGTGTTTGGATGAAGGAAGTGAATCCTCCATGAATGGTTTGTTGCCCTCCCTGAGAAAATGAGCAAGTTTTCACTATGAATTCATGCTAGAGCTGTTTTTTTAAAAGAGCCTGGCACCTCCTCCTCCCACTTTTGCTCCTTCTCTTGCCATGTGACACTCCTGCTCCCCCTTCACCTTCCACCATGATTGTAAGCCTCCTGAGGCCTCACCAGGAGTAAATGCTAGTGCCATGCATCTCATAGAGCCTGCGGGACCATGAGCCAGAATAATTACCTTTTCTTCATAAATTTCCCAGCCTCAGATATTCTTTATAGAGACACAAATGGACCAACACATATAATAACATGAATTTGACAACCTTGGAAAGAGTTACCAAGCAGATAGAAATTGGAGGAAATTTTACTCTTGAAAGATTGTGATTCAGTTAGATAATTATCATGAGTTTGTTGCTGCTTTGCTTGTGGTCACTACCCAACTCTTGATAGCTCCAGCTGAAAATAATTGCAGCCTAACTGGCTAGAAAAGGAGAGGAATGAGGTCGCAGCTGGCAGAGAAGCTGAAAATGTATAGGTTGTATTCAAGAAGCAAGAGAGCCACAGAAGGAAGATGGACCCCAAATCTGGATGTAATCCTGGATGACTCCTAAACAAACACATGCATGGGGGACTCTCCCAGCAGCTCAGTGAAAAAGAAGGAAGAAACCAGCAAAGAAGCCACCATTTAAAGAAAAAAGCACACTGGATGAGATTTGTGAGTTTGGTCTATTTTCATCATGTGATTCTTTAACCTGTGAACAAGTCAGGCAATAGAAAACACATTATGTCCAGGTGCTGTGGCTCATGCCTGTAATCGCAGCATTTTGTGAGGCTGAGGTGGGCAGATCACCTAAGGTCAGGAGTTCAAGACCAGCCTGGCCAACATGGTGAAACCCCGCCCCCACTAAAAATACAAAAATTAGCTGGGCATGATGGCGGGCACCTGTAATCCCAGCTACTCGGGAGGCTGAGGCAGGAGAATTGCTTGAACCCGGGAGGTGGAGGTTGCAGTGAACCGAGATCATGCCACGGCACTGCAGTCTGGGCGACAGAGTGAGACCCTGTTTAAAAAAAAAAAAAAAGAAAGAAAAAGAAAACACATTACTGGGTTGAGATGTCAAAGAATAGAGCTTGGAGCTGCCAGAGTAGCTGGAAATGTACAGGGCAATGCTTGAAAACAATGAAACCACAGAAAGGATGAGTTCCCAAGGGTGAATATCAACTTCTCAAATCTTTAGCTAACCAGTAAACTACACATGTTCAGGGGAGATGAGGGGATAGGGGACATGAGGGGAGCAGGCGAGAAAAAAACGCAGTAGCTGGAAACCGAAACAACTGAGCAAGGTTATTAGCTCCTGAACAAGGCAGAAAAGAACAAATTTGCTGCGTGAATGTAGGCTAGTTAAAATACTGCTGGAAGAAAAAAATCCTCATAAGAACCCAACTGAATGCAGAATAACTAGCCTGTATCATTTATTATCCACAATGTACCATTTTCAACCAAAATTGTAATACATGTTCAAAAATTACAGAAAAGTCTGTAGCCTGGTGGTGTAGGCATGGATTGATAGAACGTAATGAGAAAGCTTTTAGAGAGTGGTAGAATTGTTGACTAACTTGATTGTGGTGGTGGTTACATGGATGTACAATTGGTCAAAATTTGTCCAAATGTGTGCATAAAATGGGTGCATTTTAATGTAGAGACTATATTTAGTAAAAATCAGAAAAGGCACATTTTTAAAGTTTTCCCTCAGTTCCAAAGACAAGCAAACAGGAACTATAGAAGAAGTAAAAGAGTAAAGAAGTGGTTGAACTTTGTTATAATTCATTAACATATAGTGTCTTTTGTTTTTGTTTGTTATCCTGGCATCTTTTGTTTGTTCTTCTTTGTTACCCTCTGATTATCTGACACTTGGAAACAACAACAACAACAACAAAAAGATGTTTTTTTCACACCTCACTTTTTCCATTCTCCTTTTGGGCATATTTTCCTCTATTAAACTATGGCTTCTTTGATACTTTTATTTATAATTGCTTTCTAATATTGTTCAATGATGCCTGGGCATAGTACGGGCTTGGTAACTGTATGTTGTTGTTTGCTTGTTTGTATGAAAGAATTATGAATGAAAAATTAAAAAGAACAATTGCTCTCCTTCTTCGAATGTGCCTCCCCCAAATTCTTCTTGTCGTCATTTAGGTCTTTAAATTTTTTAAATGAACATATGATAATTTTACATATTTATAAGGTACATAGTGATTTTGTGATACATGTAATGTATAGTGATCAGATCAGGGCGATTAGCATATCCATCATTTCAAAGCTTTATCATTTCTTTGTTTTAGGAATATTCAATATCATCTTTCTAGCCATTTGAAACTATATATTGTTAGCTACAGTCATCCTATAGTGCTACAGAACACTATGATGTATTTTTTCTTTCTAGCTGTAACTTTGAATCCCTTAACAAACCTCTCTGTATCCCTCCCTCCTCCCCCTGCCTTTCCAAGCCTCTGGTGTCTTCTGTTACAGTTTTTCCTTTTATGAGATCAACTTTTTAAAGAGTCCATATATGAATGAGAACATACAGTGTTTAACTTTCTGTTCCTGGCTTATTTCACTAAACATAATGTCCTCCGGTTCCATCTATGTTGCCTTAAATGATAAAATTTCATTCTTTTTGATGGATGAATAGTACTCTATTGTTGAAGACCGAGGTCAATTCTACATCTTGGCTATTGTGAATAGTGCTACAATAAACATGGGGTGCAGATGTTTCTTTGATAAACCAATTCATTTTTCTTTGGATAAATAACCAGTAGTGGGATTGCTTTATCACAAGGTAATTCTACTTGTAGTTTTTTGAGGAACCTCCATAGTGGCTATACTTGTTTACATTCTCACCAACAGTGTATGAGTTCCCTTTTCCCAACATCCTCACCAGCATTTTTTATCTTTTGTCTTTAGTAATAGCCATCCTAATTGGTAAAATGATACCTCATTGTGGCTTTGATATGCATCTCCTTAATGATTAGTGATGTTGAACATTATTTCATATATTTATTGGATATTTGTAGTTTTCTTCTGATACATGTGTGATCAGATCATTTGTCCATTTTGTAATAGGATTCTTTGGTGTTTGATGTTGTGATGTTTGAGTTCCTAGATATATATATATGACCCTTGTTAGACGAATGGTTTGCAGATATTTTCTCTTATTCTTTAGATGGTCTTTTCACTCCATTCATTTTTTTTCCTTTGTGTGCAGAAGCTTTTTTAGGTTGATACAATTTCATTTATTTACTTTTGCTTTTGTTTCCTGTGCTTTTCAGGTCCCATTCATAAAATCATTTCCCAGATCAATGTCCTGAAGAATTTCCCCTAAGTTTTCATGTAATAGTTTTATAGCTTCAAGTCTTACATTTAGGCCTTTGACCCATGCCGAGTTGATTTTTATTTTATTATTTATTTTTTGAAACAGAGTCTTCCTCTGTCTCCCAGGCTGGAGGAGTGCAGCAGCATGATCTCAACTCACTACAACCACCACCTCCTGGGTTCAAGTGATTCTCATGCCTCAGCCTCCCAAGTAGCTGGGATCACAGGTATGCATCACCATGTCCAGCTAGTTTTTTTTTTGTATTTTTAGTGCAGACCGGGTTTCAGTATGTTGGCCAGGATGGTCTTGAACTCCTGGCCTCAAGTGATCCACTCGCCTTGGCCTCCCACAGTGCTGAAATTGCAGGTGTGAGCAACCACGCTGGGCCTGGGTTGATTTTTTTTTTTTAAATCAGGTGATAGGTGGGAAATCTAGTTTCATACTTCTGCATATGGATATCCAGTTTTTCTAGCACCATTTATTGAAGAGATTTTCTTTTCCTTAATGTATGTTTTTTGACACCTTTGTCAAAAATCTATTGGCTGTAGATATATGGATTTCTGCATTCTCCATTCTGTTCTGTTGGTCTTTGTTTCTGTTTTTATGTGAGTACAGTGCTAGTCTGGTTACTACAGTTTTGTGGTATATTTTGAAGTCTGGTAGTGTGATGTGACCAGCTTAGTTGTGTTTGTTCAAAATTGCTTTGGGTTGTTTGAGGTCCTTTGTGATTCCATACAAATTTTAAAATTGTTTTTCCAATTATGTGAGGAATGTCATTAGTATGTTAATAGAAATTGCATTATATCAGTAGATTGTTTGGGGTAATAGTGTCATTTTAACAATAGCAATTCTTTCGATTCATGATCATGGGATGTTTTTACATTTGTTTATATTTTCAATTTTTTTATTTGTGTTTTGCAGTTTTTCTTGTAGAAGTCTTTCACCTTCTTGGTTAAGTTTATTCCTAGGGATTTTTTGTATTTATTTCATTTTTCATTTGTAGCTATTGTAAATGAGATCGCCTTCTTGATTTCTTTTTCAGTTACTTTATTGTTTGTGTATAAGAAGCACTACTGATTTTGTTTGTTGATTTTGTATCCTGCAACTTTGCCAAATTAACAGTTGTTAATCTGAATTTTCCTTTTTCATGTCAGACTTTGTTTATAGATTGCTCCGTTTATTAAACTATATATACTGTAAAGGCACAGCTTTTTATTTAGTCGTGGTTGTGTTCTCAATACCTAGATAGTACATGGTATATAGTAGGTGCTTAAATTCTTGACTGACTAACAAAATACTGACAAAGAGATCCATCTGGATTATTTACTAGCCCTGTTTTTCCTTCACATAATCAGTTTGGGGTGCAGGATTCGGTCCAGCTTGGCAGCAGTGAGTAATTTTCTTCTTAAAATTCTCTTAACCTCATACATATTTTCCTTTAGTAAGGTTGAAAGAGAACTGGATTTCTGCCACTCAACAGAGAGTGATGAAATGGTGTCTCAGTGATACATTTTACTTCGTTTTACTCCATGGAGTCTCTGTAATCTGCATGAGTGTGCCATTTGTAAATTTTTCGAACCAAGAGAACTGTACATAACACCTGATTTTTCTGTTGTTTATTTTCTTTTTACAGTACAAGATCCTTAAGGGAAACTAATCTGCTTATTACAAGTCCCAGTGATTTCTCCCAGATAAACAGAAAACAGTGATCTCTCTCCCAAAAATTGTTCCAGATTTCAAGTTAGCGTATTTGCAAAATGAATGTAATTGCTTTTAGTGATGTGTTATTAACAGAATGTGGTTTTTCTGGATGTTTTCTGAACATTTTCGTGATTTTAAATCAGGATCGTTTTTCTCTGCTTGATCTCAATAGGTTATAAGCACTTTTATCATACAACACAGGTCTTATGGAAATCTTGTCTATAAACATTTTTAGTTTTGTTTGTTTGTTTGATTGTTTTGAGGCAGAGTCTCGCTCTGTCGTCCAGGCTGGAGTCAATGGCGCGATCTCGGCTCACTGCAACCTCTGCCTCCCGGGTTCACGCCATTCTCCTGCCTCAGCCTCCCGAGTAGCTGGGACTACAGGCACCTGCCACCACACCAGGCTAATTTTTGTATTTTTAGTAGAGACAGGGTTTCACCGTGTTAGCCAAGATGGTCTGGATCTCCTGACCTCGTGATCCGCCTCCTCAGCCTCCCGAAGTGCTGGGATTACAGGAGTGAGCCACCATGCCTGGCCCATTTTTAGTTGTTTTTAACTTAGAGTAATGTCTGTTCTTCAGTCTGACAGCTTTTACTCTCTGTATCATAAAATTTCACATTTGATTTCATCCTTCTTATATTGATCTGTAGCCTTTGTCACTGTAAAATGCAAAGTAAAAGTTAAGGATAATTCAGTTTATTTTTCTTGAGCCCTTCATAGTATCTAGCAGAGTCCTGGATGCATGCTCATTGATTAACATATAAGGAGATGTAACTTGCATTCTGTTGCTGTGGTGAGGAAAAAGGTTTCAGAGTCAGGTGGCATGGAAATTTTAGTTTTTAATATATGTTCGACTGGCCTAAATGTCAATACAAGTTTGAAAATCTCTGCTGAATATATGTGTGTCACAACCTATATTTTTGCCTTGTGATTGGAGAGGGTGGAATATAATTGAAACTGCATGTTAATAACTCCAGGATCTCACTTCACTCAGGGTGGGTGCCTCCTTCCAAGCTGCAAGTCATCTCACAGACCTGGGAGTGAGGCTGATGTGTGTGCAAAGAGTTTCTCAAGACAATGATTTTTAGGGTTGGTTTAACTTATCGCCATAAGTAGGTGATTAATTCATAAATTTTTCAATAAATGCTCACTTTTTACCACGCTCTGTGCAAATACTTATGTAAGAGCACCCCTCATAAAATATCATCTGATTTTTTTTTTAATGTCTTCTCACATGATGTTCTTTCCACTGGGAATATCCTCTCTTCACTTACTCTTAACTCTATCTTTTACACTCAACACGCAGCTCGAGAGTATGTCTTTGGAGTCTTTCTGATCTGTTAGTCTGAGTTACGTGTTCTCTTTTTCATCCTCCTCTTCTTCCCTCCTGTAAGTATATCAACACATATTTGCCATATTACTTTGTCTATTTTCTGCCACAAGACTGAGAATTAGATTGAACAGTAACTGGTACAGGATGGCTGCTAAATTGTATTCTTTCACCTAAATTAATTGAAAGATGTTTATTTATAAGCAAGCATCTGAAATAAAATAATTAAAGAAAATATTTTAACAGGAGTCTTAAGACTGTATTTGTCCATGATTGAAAGTTTATGTACCTCACAGAGCAAAATATCATATGAAATTTACATCAATATTTTTTTCTGAAAATAGGAATACATAGTTTACATTTTTATTTAGTAGGTCTAGTTCAAAGGTGTTTCTTCACTGAATTAACAATTTTAAAGGAAATTTAGAGCCACAGAAAAATAGGATATTTACAATAAAATGATTGTAAACCGGATGATTTATGCTGATGCTTTCCACAAATGTGCCAATAAACCTATATGGACATTATTGCTGCAATGGCAAAGATCACTTTTACTTCTATACTTTAAAAAATTAGGATATAATAAAACTTTCATGAGTTTCTATGTAGTGCTGAAAAAGTAAAAAATTACATTGTGTACAACCAAATTGTGATATTCCTTCCAAATTAAACAAGGAAACTCTAAGACCACAAAAATGACCAACTTCTTTTTCTTTTCACTGACATATTTTCTGAGCGATTTTTCCTTCCTTGCCAATGAAAACTCTACTATTGCTTAAAACTTCCACCTCCTAGTTTAAAATATTAAAATATCCAATTTCTGAATTTTTCCAATTTCTTAAAGACAGCCAATCAAAAATTGGTGTTCATGGGTTTTTTGTTTCATCATGGCTGATTAGAGGCATTGCTAGCACACCTCTCCCACTTGGAAGGACAAAATAGTGTTTAGAAATTCACGCCATAAACACTTCCTTTCAATAAGTGATTCAGGAACTGAACAGGAAACTGAAAGAATCCACAGGCCCTTTGAAGGAAGTACCAGGCTGCAGCCTACACCATGAGTCAGGCAAAGGTCTGTGAGTCCTCAGAGTGTGAGAGGGATAGAGGCTGTCTCCAGGATACACATTCTCACCAGGGATCTTGAAAGTTCAGGCCACAGAGGATGGCATTAACCCTACCCAGCACAGGCACTGACTTGAGGAGGGTCATGGAATATGAAAGTAAGAACAGCACAGAAAAGACCTCCGCCTGCACTCACAGTCTCCAGCATAGACCAAGGGAAGCCATTCCATATTGTTCCTCACAGAGGACCCTGCAGAGGCCGGCCAAATAGTTCAGGCAGTGGTCGCAGGTTGAAAGAAACCCTCAAATGGAATTTGCAATACAACCTTGAGTGGAGACAAACTTCCTTGGCCACAGCTGGGGAAGGGCAAGTGAAAAGCAGGCTGTAGCCACACGCACAGGAGCCAGGCACCCGGCTTTGTGGGAAGACAAGGAGGAGTGTATCTTGGAAGCCACAGTTGCTATCTCCATAGGGAAAGCTTATGACATGAGGCATTTGTGAGTTCTGAGTGCAGGCTGCCTGGAACTTAGCTCACTGCTGCTAGTGACACACTTAACACCAAGGACAGAAACTTTTGGGAGCTTTATGGCCCCGTCCATTGCCTCAGAAACCTGAGTACCTTTCTGGGCAACATACGGCAATCAAAAATCCCACTGCTGTTACCACAGAGGGCGCTCTTTTGCAGGTGTCACCTCCTGGCTGGAGGCCACACAACAATCCATTACAGCACCTCCTGGTAGAAAACCACTGCACCCAGGAAGGAGAAAACAGCTGTGTGACTTCAGTTATCACCACTACTTGCACCACTCTGGCTAACCAGGAGGTCCTAAGTCTGTCCACGTGATCAGTTCCCTACCACTATAACTGGCATTTGAGAAAGCCAACGCACTAGGCTATCTAAAATGAAGGAATCTCACAGAGTCTGTGTCACTACCCTGCCATCCCCATGAGAGCTGTACCCACTGCTGGGAGACTTGAGGGCAGGTCACATCACTGGATCCCTTGAAGACATTTCCTAGTACCAGCCTAGAGTGTGGCAACTTCACTGGGAGGCTAGACCCAGAGGAGCAACAACACTCACAGTAGTCTGTCTCCAAGGGATTCTAGGGGAAGCGGGGGTACACCACAAAAAGGGAACACACCGTGGGATAAAAGAATCCAGACAACAGGCCTTGAGCACAAATCAGATCTTTTAGCTGGTGGAGAGTTTCTTTCAGCAGAGGCATGGTTGCAGTTCTGGGCTCGGCAGGGAAAGTCTGCAGCTCTGACCAACAGACAGCTCTGGCGTGTGTGAAGGATGTTGGAGAAAGGGAAGTATTTCCTCCTCATCCATCACTACGGGCACAGCTGGGGCTTTTCCCATGGGAGCTTGGCATGGGCACAACTATAGACAGACTTTCTGGAACATGTCAGCGTGACTACATCTGCAAAGGTTCACAATTCCTCTCTACTTGGAACATCAACATTCCTACAAATGAAAAGAGGTGCCTGTCTGATCTGAATAGCTATATCACTGGGACAGAAGTATGTCTGGGACATGGATAGCTTTCCTACTGTCCTGGCAGGGGAGCTGAGGTGGCTCGAACCCTTTCTCCTGATAAGCCCTCATTAAGACTCACTGATAGCTCCTCCAGCCACCTCCATCAAGGCTGGGACCTCTGCCCATATTGGGTATTGCATTTACCTACCTGAATTAGCTACAACTAGTTCCTACACAGGGACATCTCCCCTATTGGCCTAAAGCCCGAACCATCAAGCCAATAAAATAAATACTGAGGAAAAATAAATAAATAAATAAATAAATAAGAAAGTGCATGCCACAGGGTATGAGAAAAAGCTTCAAGAGACCTCTACTATTCCAACCCTATAGAAGACAGTGAACTTGCTCACACACTGAGCACATTGCTACTACAACCGGCATATGACAAACCCATCATGCAAAGATTCCCTATAATCAAGGAAGTCTTACTGAATTTTCACTGCTGAAAACACCAAGAACTCCATTAGGCTACAATTAATTTTAAACATTAAAGTCACAGACTTAAGAGGAAAACAATAAATTTAAAAAAAGTCATATAAATTCAAGAATAATTAGAATAAATAGTCTACCCAAAGAAGAAGGAACCAGAAAATAACTGATAACATGACAAAACAGGGTTCTATAACAACCCCAAAAGATTACGCTAGCTCCCCAGCAATGCACTCAAACCAAGACGAAATCTTTGAAATACCAGATACAGAAATCAGGAGGTTGATTATTAAGCTACTCAAGAAAATACCAGAGAAAGGCGAAGACCAACATAAAGAAACTTAAAAGGAGTTCAGGATATGAATGAAAAATTTTCTAGAGAGATAGATATCATTAAAAAATCAGAACTTCTGTAAATGAAAGATACACTTAGGGAATTTATGAAATGCAGTGGAAATTTTTAACAATAGACTAGAACAAGTAAAAGAATTTTAGAACTTGAAGACAAAGCTTTTTTATTAAGCCAATCAGATGAAAATAAGAAAAAATAAGAAAAAGAAATGAACAAAGTCTCCAAGAAATATGGGATTGTGTAAAATCGACAAACTTAGGAATAATTAGTGTTCCTGAGGGAGAAAAGAAAACCTCTGGAAAATTTATTTGAGAGTAAATTGAGGAAAACTTCCCTAGTCTGGCTAGAGATTTAGATATCCAAATCCAAGAAGTTCAAAGAACTCTTGGGAAATTTATTGCCAAAATATCTTCACCAAGGTGCGTAGTCATCAGGCTACCTAACATCAACGTGAAGGAAAGAATTCTAAGAGTAATAAGACAAAAGCATCAGGTAACCTATAAAGGAAAACCTATCAAACTAACATCATATTTCTCAGCAGAAACCTTACGAGCTGGAGAAGATTGGGGTCCTATCTTCAGTCTCCTTAAACAGAAAAAGCAAGAATTTTGTATCCAACAAAAGTAAGTTTCAAAAAATGAAGGAAAAATAAAGTCATTTTCAGACAAACAAATGCTGAGGGAATTTGTCACTACCAAACCAGCACTACAAGAAATGCTAGAAGGAGTTCTAAACTTTGAAACAAGGGCTCAATATGCACCAAGATAGAATCTCTTGAAAGCTTAAAACTCCCAAGGCCTAAGAAACAATAACATACACAAAAAATCAAAGTATCTAGGTAAACATCAAGCGTAATGAAGAGAACAGTATCTCACATCCCAGTATTAACATTAAATGTAAATGGCCTAAATAGTTCACTTAAAAGATATGAAATGGCAGAATAGATAAAAAATTACAAACCCAAAATACCTGCCATCTTGAAGAGACTCACCTAACATGGAAAGATTCATATAAACTTAAGGTAAAAGGGTAGAAAAAGTTATTCCATGCCAATGGCAACCAAAAGTGACCAGAAGTAGCTAATCTTTTTTCAGACAAACCGACTTCAAAGTAAAAACAGTAAAAAAAAAAAAAAAAAAAAAAAAGAGAAAGTTATGATAAATAATAAAAGGATCGATCCAACAAGAAGATATTACAATTCTAAATTTATATGCACCTATCACTGGAACTCCCAGACTCATAAAGCAATTACTACTGAAACTAAGAAATGAGATAGACAGAAATACAATACTAGTGAGAGACTTCAATACACCACTGACAACACTAGGCAGATGACTGACAGAAATTCAACAAAGAAACAATGGATTTAAACAACACACTAGAAAAAAATGGACTTAAGAGATATTTACAGGACTTTCTACCCAAGAGCTGCAGAGTATACATTCTTCTCATCAGCACATGGAACACTATCTAAGACAGACACTATCATAAGCCACAAAACAAGTCTCAATAAATTTTAAAAATTGAAATCACAACAAGTATCTTCTTAGACCACAGTGGAATAGAACTAGAAATCAACTCCAAATAGAATCCTCAAAACTATACAAATACATGGTAATTAAATAATATACTCCTGGATATTTTCTGGGTTAACAGTGAAATCATGATGAAAATTTAAAAACTCTTTGAATGGAATGATAATAATGACACAAGTTATCAAAGCCTTTGGGATACAGCAAAAGCAGTGCTGAGAGTGAAGATGATAGCACTAGATGGCTACATGAAAAAGTCTGAAAGGATACAAATTGACAACCTCATGTCACACCTCAAGGGACTAGAGGAACAAAAACAAACTAAACCCAAAGCTAGCAGAAGAAAAGCAACAACAAAAATCAGAGCAGAACTACAAAAGATTAATGCAAAATAAAGGATCAACGAAAGAAAATTTTTTTTTCTTTGAAAATATAAACAAAATTGATAAACCATTAGCTAGAATAACCAAGAAAAGAGGAGAGAAGATCCAAATAAGCTTAATTAGAAATGAAACTGGAGACATTACAACAAACACCACAGGAATGCAAAAGCACATTCCAGATTACTATGAATAGCTTTATGTGCATAAACTAAAAAACCTAGAGGAAATGAATACATTCCTGGAAACTACCCTCCTGGATTAAATTAGAAAGAAATAGAAACCCTGGACAGACCAAAAACAAGCAGGGAGGTTGAAACGGTGATTTAAAAATTACCAACAAATAAAAGCCCAGAACTAGATGTATTCACAGCTGAATTCTACTAGATACACAAATAAGAATTGGTGCCAACCCTACTTAAAGTACTCCAAAAGATTGAGAAGGAGGGACTCCTCCCTAAATGATTCTATGAAGCTAATATCTCCCTAATACCAAAACCAACAAACAACATAACAAAAAAAGTAAGCTACAGACCAACATTCCTGATGAACATAGATGCAAAAATCCTCAATAAATTACTAGCTAGACAAATCCAACAGCATATCAAAAAGATAATACATCATCATCAAATGGGTTTCATACCAGGGATGCAGGGATAGTTTAACATACACAAGTCATGTGTTCTACTAATTTACATTCCCACCAGCAGGGTATAAGCATTTTCTTTTCCCCACATCCACACCAACTTCTATAGTTTTTTGATGTTTTATTAATGGCCATTTTTGAAGGAGTAAGGTGGTACCTCATTGTGGTTTTAATTTTCATTTCCCTGATAATTAGTAATGTTGAGCTTTTTTAAATATATGTTTGTTGGACATTTGTATATTTTCTTTTGAGAAATGTCTACTCATGTCCTTTGTCCACTTTTTTGATAGGATTATTTGTTTTATCTTGCTGATTTGTTTGAGTTCCTTGTAGATGCTGGATACTAGTCCTTTGTTAGATGCGTCCTTCGCAAATGTTTCCTCCTATTCCATGGCTTGTTGTTTACTTTGATTATTATTTATTTTGCTGTGCCGATGCTTTTTAGTTTAAGCACTATTTATTTATTTTTGTTTATGTTGCATTTGCTTTGGGTCTCTCTCACCTGTTGCCGTCTAAAATGTTTCTTTGCTTCTCTTTCACCTTCCACCATGATTGTAAGTTTCCTGAGGCACCCCCATCCCCAAGCTATGCAAAACTGTGAATCATTTAAACCTCTTTCCTTTATAAATTACCCAGTCTCAGGTATGTCTTTATAGTAGTGTGAGAACGGACTAATTCATATCATATGGAATACTACTCAGCCATAAAATGGAATGAAATAATGTCTTTTGCAGCAACTTGGATGGAGCTAGAAGCCATTATTCCAAGTGAAGTGATTCAGGAGTGGAAAACTGAAAACTGTATGTTCTCACTTATAAATGGAGCTAAGCTATGACTACACCAAGTCATACAGAGTGATATAATGGACCTTAGAGAATCAGAATGGGGAGAGTAGCAGAGGGACTAGGGATAAAAAAATTACACATTAGGTACAATATACACTACTCAGGTGATGGGTGCACTAAAATCTCAGAATTCACTGTTATATAATTCATCCGTTAACCAGAAAACACTTGTACCCCAAAAGTTATTGAAATAAAAGTTAAAACAAAAAAGAATTGTTGTTCACTTCCCTATTACCTTTTAAGAATTACCCAACATGGCTCAGACCTGGTGAGATTTCTTTCCCAGATCTCCCTTACTTAGATATTCTGTACTTCCCCAGGTTTCATTTTCTCTTCCAGAGTGAAGCAAAATAAACAAGCCTAATGTTTTTCTTTGTTTTTTTTTTTTGACTGCAAATGAGTTCTTGATGGACTTTGTCTTTGGTCTGTGGGACTCCAAATGATTAAGCATAAAGCAAACATTTCACAAGTGATGTTTCAATTTATAGACCAGGAGTTTGGCAATAATGTTAAGTTCATTTAGAAGCAATGTGTTGCCTACATAATTAAGTTCTCGATTAATTTCATTCTCTTCACAGTTCTGGAACCTCATTTCTGTACTGGGACCTGAGTGTTAATGTCCCTTGTATGACTGGACTGATGTGTTTGGGGTCTATCCTTTAACCAGGTGAAAGAAAGAAACAGGTTAAGCTTCTATTTATTGCTTCTAGGATTAACTTTACCTACTTGTTATGCATTCATTATGAACTATTGGGAGAAAAAATCAATTAAATAAATAGTATTTTTTCCAGCAAAATCTTAAGAGCTGGTATTAATTGTGAGAGGCAAATATTACTTTTGTCTTAGGTCATTCCACCATCCTCTTGTTGTGACTTTTGCCACATTATAAGCCTAGATACGCCCATAAACAGCAAAGAAATGAGGTGTTCTGTTATATCTTAGCAATTCGATTCTTCCTGTTTTCTAGACTCAATGGTTAAGTAGGAAATACCCGAGAATACATAGATCTCACATACTAACTGGCTATGAAATGGACATTAAGAAGGCTATTATTTCATAGATGATGGAATACAGGCTGATAAACCAGGGGACCAAATCATGAGCAGTTCCATCTCCAAATCTTGTTGCTTAATGGCGAGGTTTCTACCCTCCCCTCCCACAGTTCCATTAAAGACATTCTAACAGTGCAAACAAGCAGAGAGAAGACCCATTTCTGCAGAAGTCGTGATTATGTTAATAGGAGCCATCACCTCTAATTACCTGATTAGAGAATCCTAACCATCTTTCAAGTGTTGGCTTCAGTAATGGGAAGCAGTTAAGTCCAGAGATGAGTAATTGGAGTTGATTTCACCACCTGAAATGAAAACACGTTACTCTCAATGAAATGGTTCTGCCTCTGCCTTGTAATGTTGGAGCTGATGTATGGTAAGGCACTTCTGCTCTTATATATTACCACTGATGACACACAATACATATTTCCTTTTAACTTTGTCATTTTTGCTAGAAGGGGAAATAAAATACAAACATGAAATTGTGGGTAAAACTGTAGAGACTGACATTTATTACATTATTTACCACAGACACAGTCATCTGGCATGTTTTGTCTGGTTTGCATGTCTGCATTTGAGGCTTGTTAAAAATGAATAATTGAACAAATATTTCCAAATAGGAGGGCACTCTTCAGTTTGCTCCTTTGGACTTCTTTCTTCTTTTTGGCATACAAATATGACTTTAGTTCCCTAAGCCCAGTGAAAGCCAGGGAATTCAATGAAGAATTGCACCTCAGTTTTTGGTGTCATCCTTAGAGCATTCAATTGGAACTTAAAAATAAAAGTGGTATAGACTTTTTGGAGGACAGTGTGTCAAAAATTGGCACCATACTTTCGTGAAAAATTGCTGTGCTCAATATCTGCTTATTGCTACAATCGCAATCAGAATTTCCACAGAAAATCCATTCTCGTTGGCTGTCATCAATGAGCACTCACAACTTTACATGATGCACCAATTGTTTCTCCCACTACCTCACTAAGGAGACCTAGGGGGCAAATGATTGGGTGGAGGGCGAGTGTGTGTATTGGAGGATTGTTTTCAGAAAATATGATTATTTTCACACCCAGCATTTCCCCTCCATGAAAGAAGTATATAGACTAACTGGTAAAAGCTGAGGGAGTTAACTGTTAGCTGCTGGTGCAAAATGCCTTTCTTTGCCTGCCTTCTTTCTCTGCCAAAATTCCATTTCACTAGATTTTGGAGGCTAATTGCAATGAAATTTGATGACTGAAGGGTCTCTTTGAAGATAGGCAGTGTATGTTACTCAACTCTGAGCCACATCTAGCTCAGTATATAGTCAGTTAATTCATTTACTGGAGTAAACTAGACATATATAATTATTATAAAAAGGTAAATGTGTCCTAGAGATAACATCAATTCTTTTGAACTGCTCAAACTGCTCCTGGTGGAAAAATTTGTCTTAACTTAATCAACCAAGCACTGAAGAGAAGAAAAAATGGTTTTGTTTTTATAGAACACTTGTACCCACATATAGACTTAGGAATCATCAGCAACCTGAGTGTAATTGTGAAGAAATCCCTGTGTAGAAATTCAGGCAAACTTGTACCTTTTCTAGCTGCTGCCACTCAGCACAAGAGAGCTTTGAATGGTATATGTATGCATAATGAATACATTAATCATTATATCATTAGGAATATCATGAGCAATTTAGATTTGCATACTCAACATTCAATGTGTTAATGAAATTATTTGTATTTTTAATTGATCAGCTTTAAAAAAGACTGAATATTGTGTAGGCACTCACCTATTATAGTATTAAGTTTTTCATTAATAATTTAGGCTATGAGCAAACGTATGCAGCCAAAGATTTTTTTTTTGTCTCCTCCAAAATTATTTCCAATTTTCAGCTTTATAACTTCCCTGATGGTACAACTGCCATATAATTTCATTAACAGCATTCCAGTTGTTGAACTGGCATCCCGGAAAATTATTACGCTAAGCTTTTTTTGAGTCTATTTTAACCTGCTATTTGACCAAAGGTTATCTTTTTGTCCAATCAGTTTGAGAAGACTGCACATCTTATTTTGTTTTTAAACTAAGAACCGGAACAACTTAGAGTAGATATCAATTAGTTGTATCTATCTAGCTATGATGCCTTGTTTTGATAATACTGCAAATGATTTCATCAGTCAGGACTTGGATGTAATACATGTAAAATGTAGTTCTTGAAATACTACTCCCTCTAACACTCAGTCCCACAAATATATTCATTTACCAGTCATCTTCTCAGGAAAGAAACTTCAATCATTATTTACACTGGAAAATTAAGAGTTGTATTTGTTCCTTCGTTTTCATTATCCCCTAGATACAATCAATAAGTGCAATAACGTACCTTCAAAATAGTTCCCAAATAACCCCATTTTCCCTATCTCACTTTTTAACAATACCCTGTTCAACAGCTATCTTCATTTATTTCCACTATTGAATCGCCTCCTTCTGATATCTCTGCTAAGATTAAATCCTTCTAAGTATTTCTATCGGCAGCAACTGAAGTGAGATACTTTTTAACATACATCATTATTATATTGAAATCTTGCTTGAAATGATATAAGAGGTGGGCAGATCTTTTCTATTGATTATATAAATATATCCCTTTTCTTTCTAAAATGACATTAAATGACCATAACAGGTAAGGAAAAATAACAGGTATAAAAATGACACAGATAGGGTTTAACAATTTCAAAAAATCAATTAAATGAGCAATAACTGACTTGACACATCTCAGAAAACTGTTATGAAACTTACAAGGAGAAGAACCACAAGAAGCTGGTTATTTCTGTTGCAATTCTCAGAAACACTAGGTGCATACGAGCATAGTTCAGATTTAAATGAAAATCAGAAGGGATATTTGAAAGTTTCTATGAAGAGTAGGTATATAAAACCGGATACTTTCCCCCATTCTAAGGGATCTGGGAAAACAGCAACACAAGGGAAGGACAAATAGATACTGATTTTAAAATGTTCATTTCCTTATTTCCTTGAGTTGTAGTGTATTACATATATATATATGGACTATGCTCTTTTCACTCTATTTCATAGAGATCTTCATTCATTCTCACAGATTCATAGTACTCTACTATATGAGCTGTACCATTATTTATTCAAACATTATCTTATGTATGGGCTAATAGTTTTTTTCTTCCCAATAATTGCCATTACAAATGATGCTACATAAAACTTTCTGGGAAACTATTTTTGTATTACTGGAAACATGTCTCAGAGTGAATTCTTAGAAGCAGGCTTGGGGGATCAAAGAGTAAAAAAACCTATGTAGTTTTAGTTAGATATTGCTAAATTCACCTCCTGAGGGGATGTACAGGTTTGTGCCTATTTCAACATAGCTTCTCTAAAAGAGTGAGTAGTCAAATGTTTTAGTTTTTAAAAATTGTATAAGTGAGAATTAATATTGTCATGTAGTATCTTTAAAGAAACATTTAAGAATAGTTTTAATTTATGGAAAAATGATGCAGTACAAAGACCTCCCATATACCCAGACTTTCCCTTATTACTACCTTCTTACATTGACCTAACACTTTTGTCACAATTGAGAAACCAATATTGATACATTATTATTAACTAAAGTCTATACTTTATTAAGATTCCTAACTTTTTACCTAATCTACTTTTTTTCTATTTTAAAATTCCATCCAAGATGTCATTTTGTACATTTAGATATGAGGTTTCCTTAGGCTACTCTTGGCCATGATAATTTGTCAGACTTTCTTTGTATTATAGAATGTCCCTCATATGTGTCCTGTCTGACATGTTTCTCATGATTAAACTGGGGTATGTGTTTACAGAAGGAAAAATATAAAAGTGAAACATCATTTTCATCATTCCAAGGGTTCATATTATCAAGACTTGTCACTGTTGAAGTGAACCTTGATCACAGATAGTATTTGTCTGGTTTCTTCATGGCAAAGTTACTCTTTTCCTCTTTTTTTCCATGCATTGTTTAGAAGAAAGTCACTATGGTACAGTGCATATTTAAGGAAGGAGTTATGCTTTACTTCCTTGAAAATGAAATCTAGATAAATTATCTAGAATTCTTCTGCATGAGAGATTTGTTTACTCTCTCTATATTTAGTCAAATATTATATCAGTATGGACTCCTGAATAATAATTCTTGTGTTTCTTTGGCATGCCCCCTTCATTGTGTGTGTGTGTGTGTGTTTGTGTGTGTGTGTGTGCATGTGTGTGTGTGTGAAATATGATTTGGCTCTGTGTCCCCACCAAAATCTCATGTTGAATTGTAATTCCCAATGTTGGGGGAGGTACCAGATGGGAGTTGATTGGATCATGAGGACAGATTTCCCCCTTGCTGTTCTCATGATAGAGAGTTCTTATAAGATCTGATTATTTAAAAGTGTGTAGCACTTCCCCCTTTGTGCTGTCTGTCTCCTGCTTTGCCATGGTAAGATATACTTTTGTAAGTTTCCTGAGGCTTCCTAGCCATGCTTCCTGTATTGTAAGAAGAACTGTGAGTCAATTAAACTTCTCTTCATAAATTACCCAGTCTCAAGTAGTGCTTGATGGCGGTGTGAGAACAACCTAATACAGAAAATTGGTACTGGGAGTAGAGCTTTGCTATAAAGATACCTGAAAATGTGGAAGTGAATTTGGAATTAGGTAATGGGCAGAATTTGGAAGACTTTGGAGGGCTCAGAAGAAGATAGAAAGATGAGGGAAAGTTTGAAACTTCCTAGAGACTTGTTGAGTGGCCGTGACCAAAATGCTGATAGTGATATGAACAGTAAAGTCTAGGCTGAGGTGGTCTCAGATGAAAATAAGGAACTTATTGGGAAGTAGAGCAAAGATCACTCTTGCTATGCTTCAGCAAAGAGACTGGCAACATTGTGCCCCTGCTCTAGAGATCTGTGGAACTTTAAACTTGCGAGAGATAATTTAGGGTATCTCACAGAAGAAATTTCTAAGCAGCAAAGCATTCAAGATGTGGCCTGTCTGCTTCTAATAGCACATGCTAATTTGCATGAACAAAGAAATATCTGAAACTACAACTTATATTTTAAAGGGAAGCAGAGCATAAAAGTTTGGAGAATTTGCAGCCTGACCATGTGGTTGTAAAGAAAAACTCATTTTCTAGGTAAGAATTTAAGCCAGCTGCAGAAATTTGCGTAAGCAGAGCCAAATGTTAATAGCCAAGACAATGAAGGAAATGCCTCCAAGACATTTCAAAGACTTTCAGGGTAGCCCATCCCATCATAGACCTGGAGAACTAGGAGGAAAAAATGGTTTCATGGAACAGCCCAGGGCCTTGCTATTCTGTGCAGCCTCAGGACATGGCAGCCTTCATCATAGCCTCTCCAGCTCCAGCTGTGGCTGAAAGGTGCAAAGGTACAACTTGGACCATCACTTCAGAGGGTGCAAGCACCACGCCCTGGAAGCTTCCATGTGGTGTTGAGCCTGTGGGTGCGCAGAGGGCAAGAGTTGATGCTTGGGAGCCTCCACCTAGATTTTAAAGAATGTATGGAAATGCCTGGATGTACAGGCAGAAATCTACTTCAGGGGTGGAGCCCTCATGGAAAACCTCTACTAGGGCAGTGCACAAGAGAAATGTGGGGTTGGAACCCCCACACAGAGTTTACACTGGGGCACTACCTAGTGGAGCTGTGAGAAGAGGGCCACTGGCCTTCAGACCCCAAAATTGTAGATCCACCAACAGCTTCCATCATGTGCCTGGAAAAGCCACAGGCACTCAATGAGAGACTGTGAAAGCAGCTTTGGGGGCTGTACCCTGCAGAGCCACAGGAGCAGAGCTACCCAAAGCCTTGGGATCATACCCCTTGCACCAGTGTGACCTGGATGTCAGACATGGAGTCAAACGAGATTATTTTGGACCTTTGATATTTAATGACTGCCCTGCTGGGTTTCAGGCTTGCATGGGGTTTGTAGCTGCTTTGTTTTGGACAATTTTTCCCATTTGGAATGGGAACATTTACCCAATGCCTGTATCCCTGTTGTATCTTGGAAATAACTAACTTGTTATTGATTTTACAGGCTCATAGGTGAAAGAGACTTGCCTTGTCTTAGATGAGACTTTGGACTTGGACTTTTGAGTTAATGCTACAATCAGTTAAGACTTTGGGTGACTGTTGGGAAGGCATGATTTTATTTTGAAATGTGAGAAGAAAATGAGATTTGGGAGGCACCAGGTGCTGAATGATATAATTTGGCTCTGTGTCCCCATGCAAATCTCATACTGAATTGTAGTTTCCAGTGTTGGGGAAGGGACCTGGTGGTAGGTGATTGGATCATAGGGGCAGATTTTTTCCTTGCTGTTCTTGTGTCATTGAGTTCTCCCAGGATCTGGTTGTTTAAAAGTATGTAGCACTTCCTCCTTTGCTCTGTCTCTCCCACTCTACCATGTTAAGATGTGATTGCTTTTCCTTTGTCTTCTGCCATGATTGTCAGTTTTCTGAGGCCTCCCAGCCATGCTTTCTATACAGCCTGCTGAACCGTAAGTCAATTAAACCTCTTCACCAATTACCCAGTCACTGATAATTCTATATTACAGTATGTAAACAAACTAACACAGTGTGTGTGTATTTAACACTTTCTTAATTTCTAGCTGTACAAAATGCTTTCTGTTCATCTTGTATATATCCTGCCCCAAACCTAGAGTCAGTCATTTCTCTTAGCGCTTCTGGTTCCTTTTATTAGATAATAGTATTTGAAAATAAGATCTGTCTCTAGGTATACTTCTTTTTAATGAGAGTGTTGTTGCTTCCAGGCCCTGTAAGCTGACAGGGAAATATATGTGTGTATATTATGCAGATTATATATAAATATATACATATATACATATTTCTATATGAAACTATGTGTATCTGTGTTAAACACAACAGGAGTTCATACTTGTTTCTCTAAATCAAATTCATTGTCACATGGATTGTTCCACCCTCACCTCTTTCTTCTGTGAAACTTCACACACAACAGTCAGAAACTTGGCTTCTACTACCCACCACCAATTTACTTAAATATTAAATTCTTTTATTCAAGTATTGTGGTTTCAGAATTGTTAACTCATATTGCTGTGCAAATGACTTCTTCAACGGGAGTACAGTGCTTATGGTCAGCTTATTTTGCCTTTAGTCTTAGAGACTCTACTTATTTCCAAATATACATAGGTTTCTACCTTTTCTCTTTAACCCCTACAGCAAGTTTGTTTCACACATATAATCCAGTGAGGTTCCATCGTCTCCTTTTCCATTTTATCATGAGATCCCTCAAGATCCTAAACGTTTATTTAATTTGCACACATTAAGGTTTTTTGTGTCAAGTTCTATACGTTTTGATAAACATATCATGTATCCACTATCACTGTATCATATGAAATTAGCATCACTGTCCTGTGCTTTACCTGTTCGATCCCTTCCCGTGTCATCCATGACAGGCACTAACATGTTTATCATCTCAATAGCTTGGCCTTTTCCAGAATGTCATTTAATGGAAGCATGCCTTTTCAGGCTGGCTTTTTTCACTTAGCAATATGCACGTAAGATTCATTTGTGTCTTAATATTTCTTTTTATCTTATTACTTTTAAACGCTTGCTATGGTTTGAATGTGTCTGCTCCAAGATCCAGGTGTTGCCTATATGATGGTATTAAGGGGTGGGACCTTTAAAAGATGATTAGGTCATGAGGGCTCCTTTCTCATTAATGGGATTAAGGCTCTATAAAATAGGCTTCTTGAAGCATTCAGCTGTGGCTTGCTAGCTTGATCTTCGGCTCCAGTTTCTCCTTGTCCTAAATAAGGATGCAGCAAGAAGGCCTCACTAGATGCCAGCACCTTGATCTTGGGCTTCCCAGACACCAAAACGTCAGAAAGAAATGTCAGTTCTTTACAAATTACTGAGTCTCAGGTATTTTGTTGTATCAGCACAAAATAGACTAAAACAATTCTGAATTGTATTTTATTATATGGGTATACCTTAGTTTGTTTATTCATTTGCCTATTGAAGGATGTGTTAAGCCATTCTTACACTGCTATAAAGAAACACCTGGGCCAGGCATGGTGGCTCACGCCTATAATCCAAGCACTTTGGGAGGCCAAGGTAGGCAGATCATGAGGTCAAGAGATCGAGACCATCCTGGCTAACACGGTGAAACCCCATCTCTACTAAAAATATGAAAAATTAGCCGGGTGTGGTGGCCGGCGCCTGTAGTCCCAGCTACTCGGGAGGCTGAGGCAGGAGAATCACTTTAACCTGGGAGGCAGAGTTTGCAGTGAGTCAAGAAAGAAACACCTGAGGCTAGGTAATTTATAAGGAAAAAATACTTAATTGGCTAATGGTTCTGTGGGCTTTACAGGAAGCATGACGATGGCATCTGCCTCTGGTGAGGCCTCAGGAAGCTTACAATCATGACAGCAGTTAACAGAGAGCTATCATGTCAACATGGTAAGCACAAAAGCAAGAGAGTGGTGTGAGGAGGTGCCGAACTTTTAAACAACCAGATCTTGTGTGAACAAACTGAGCAAAAACTCATTTATCATGTAAGAGGATGGTGCTAAACCATTCATTAGAGGTGCATCCCCTTAATGGAATGACCTCCCACCAGGCCCCACCTCCAACATTTGGAATCAGATTTCAACGTGAGATTTGGAAAGGAGAAACATCCCCAGCATATAAAAAGGCATCTTGTTTTTTTATAGTGTTTGGTAATGATAAAGAAAACCATTATAAACATTCATACATAGGCATTTGTGTACATATATCTTAAAATTAATCGGGTAAAAAACCGAACAGCAGGACTTCTGGGGTGCTATGGTAAGGCTACATCTTGATGTATAAGAAACTCCCAAACTGTCTTCAAAAGTGGCTATACCATTTTGCATTTTTTGCCAACAATAGATGAGTTCCTGCTGCTAGGCATCCTCACCGGAAGTCAGTATTGCCAGGGTGGTTAGATTTTTAGCCAGTCTACAGAAATAGCAACAAACAGAAAACAAGACAACATGGAATAAATAGAAACAGTACAGGGATCAGAAGATTATTTAAAAATTAGTATCTTCACAGAAATAAGACAATGTGTTGAAACCATGGAATAGAAACATGACACTATAAAAGGACATCCATAAAACAAGAGTTTTCAAAGTGAAAATATGGTAGCAGACAATAAAATTGAACAGAACAATTTAAAGTGAATATGTATGGATCATATTTGTGAAGAAATGGAGGAGAGAGTCAAGAAGATATAAACCAAGAGAGAAAAGGGTATTAAGTAATTTTGATTGCAACATCAAACTAATAGATTGAACAAAGTGAAAGTAATCATATTTTCACAGAATTAATGGTCAAAATTCCTGAACTTGAAACAAAAAATGTTCCAAATAAAGTAGAACAAATACAGTAATAGAAATAAGACCCACGTTAAGACAAGTTTTTGCGAAATTTCAGAGTACTAGGGATAAAGGGATAACATTAAAATCTTTTAAGGAGGGGAAAATCAGAACCACAAAAGTAACCTGTGAAAAGAATCAAAATGAGTGACATTGGTCTTCTCCTAAGATGATACCACAAACTGGAAAAACAAATATACCTAGAATCCAATACCCAGTTGTATTGTGCTTATTCTTTATCAATGAACAACATTATTTCTTAAAGCTATTCCACATTTATTAGTTACTTCAAATCCTAGTACTGTCAAGTTCTCCTTCTGCAGTTACACAGTTAGTACAAGTTCATTCCTTTCACCATAAACATTGTTCTTTATATGAATCAAATTGTTTATTTCTATTTTTGTCTGTTTTTTATGTCTGTTTATTTCTACTTCTATTTGTGTTTGAAGTTCTGTTGCACAAATCTGCTTATTTCTATACCTCTGATGCATGGAATAGTGCCCCACTTAATAGATATACTTAATAAATTAGTAAATATTATACTAATAAAGAGCTATAGCTTTCCTGTATGTTTTCCTTTTAGTGGGAATTAGATGTCTGAATCCTCCCTTTATCTTAAACCAGGCTAACTTCTCGAGGAAGGACAGGAAGTACGTCTTCTAACCTCATCATCATCTTAAAATTACGTCACCACTATTTTAAAGATATTACCTTTGTGTTTACTGTGTGGTGGTTACTATACATATCCTCGTTACCAAAGATCCATGTAATTCTAGTACAGATTTTCACGTTCTGGAGCAGGCTTCACTCTTTAACTGTTCATGCCCATCACATACAGCTTACTCATCATTTTTCCTCCTGATTTCTTGGCATCACTTGATGTGTACTTGGATCACAGACTCCAGGATCTTAAAATCAATAAAAATTTGCCAGTTAAACTCTTGTTCTTGGAAATTTTCTGAAGGGTGCAGTCTGATTTTTAAATGATATATCTGAGCATACAAATGCAGCTGTTTTTACAATGAAGTCATCTGGGATGCCTCTGTGGAAGACAGGCATAGACAGGAGGGTATTTTGAGTTTTGTAGGAAGTCATTGCAGGGTAACAGTGTCTTTTTATGTTTTCCTTCAAACACAGTGACATAAAATTCACCCTCAATAAACTATTTCCAGATTGAAAACCAAGGTTGTGAAGAACTGAGATGTCATGGGGTTGGCACTACAGGTAGAAATGGAGTTGCTTCACATTTTCTTTAATTTGGGAAGTGTACTTTTTTTCTCTTTATAGCAGTGTAATGCCTAAGGAGATTACTGCTTCTTCCTCTTTCCAAGTTTATGTTAGTGTTCTAAATAAACAAATACAGTAACTTTTTCTATGCATGTCTGGGAATTTGTCTGGGCTTTGTAGTCATTTTCTCTCTGCCAGTCACAAAATGATGTCTTTATATACAAGTCTTGCCTCAACTTCTTCATTTTAGCTTCTGTCTTGAATTTTAACCCTTTTAGTTGCCAGGAAGGTTATGGATTGTTAGCTCCTGCTTTCTATTTTTTTTTTTTTTTTTTAATTCTAGTGGGAAGGAAAAGGAGAGAAACGATGTGTTTTGCTAAAAGGCTCATCCTCCTCAGCATTTCCTAATATACTACTTCCTGTCAAATCTGCTCCAAATAATCTCATATTCACCCCCACCCAACATACCTTATAAAAGGGTTTGGAGGAACACTTGAAAATATGTATACAAAAATGCTTCATAAACTTTAAAGGTTTATTGGATTAGGTGATGGATTGATTTTGGTCTACATAGTTGTAGTATCTGAGTATTGTTGAGCAAGTCTTCTAAAGCAAAAGTAGTCTTACAAAAACAGCAGGAAATATAGAAAGTTGTCATCATTTGGAAAAATCTACCAGTACTTTTATTAATATATAAGATTTAATGCATAAAAAGACAGAATGAAAATTGATTCATAATGTATCTTGAATATAAGTCTGAAGAGTTTTGTGTTTATCCTTATAAAGAAACATCAATGTAAAAGCAAGTATTTAGTAAAATTAGTTCTGCAGTTTCTTGCAGGTTGGATTCGCATGGCACAGCTGGAAGTAGAGATTAGAGAAAACTCACATAGTTCATGGTTACAGGCATAAGAAATTGACCAAATCATTCCTTGATTAGACCATCTCATGTAAAGACTTTACTTGGCATACATAAAGTATGATGTAAACAGTGTTTTAGTCTAAAATATTCAGTACTCAAATGGACATTCCTAATTGTAGCTTCTTGATAACTAATGAGCAAGTTATTATATTTGTATATTCAAAATGACTTTAAAAAACTGTTTTCTGTCTCTATTCAATGCGAATGATTTAAGCTATCATTCTTACAACTTCAGAGTCCAATAAATGAACCTAATCAGGCATGTATTTCCCTAGATTCAATTAGACTTTGCATAGATTTTTGAGAGCCTGCTGTTTCCTCTTGAAACACTTGATGGCTTTTGTGTGCGGCTTCTTCCCAGAATAATTTACATCATAATCTAACCCCAGAATGAGAGAAATCAGAAATTTTCATAGTGTGATTCATGGGAGAATACATAAAATATCTACTTGACTGAAATCATTGCTAGTTCTTATGCGGTTAGAATTCTCAAGTTCTGAATAAGGTATTAAATATTTAAAAGCTGTTTCGTATGGCAAAAATTTTCATATTAGAAAACAAGAGCAATATTCACACCAGTAGGCACATATATAATATCTATAGTTGTTTTTAATTTTATTAGGGCTATGTAGACTATTTTCTCTGACAGTCTACTAGATATCTTCCAATTGAACATCCTTCAAACTTGTTCCTTATTCTTCCCATATATTGCTAGGTGTTCCAGGTGGGATGACCTCTGGAAGCAGTTTTCCTAGTTATTTTGTCAGCGGCTGCCATTTGTGTTTCAGCCAATGGGAGACACTGGCAGGTGATTTCAGAGCATGATACAGAGGAGAGAGGAAAAGGAAAGAGCTAGAGCATATGAACTCCAGTCTATATGCCGAGGCAGTATCTACGACAGCATGGTATCTTGTTTACACCACCAATCTCTGCTGTGGTTATTCCAGTTTCTGCCGGGTGACTTCACTCCCTGAAATCTAGTAATACCATTCTCTCTCTCTCTCTCTCTCTCTCTCTGTTTTTCCTGTTGATCCTAATGCAGTAGTGGGTTTCTATAGTTGGAGATCTCTGAGTTGTCTCCTTTTCTCTAATTGGCTCCCCTGGTCTTCCAGCAACTATGTAACCAAACCTCTGTACTAAGTTATCTGTAATATGCTTAAAATGCTTGCTATTTTCCCAAGTTGGACCATGAACACCAATGTAGTGTTAATTGCATTTAGATATTAATTTATCATTATATCAAAATATATAAAGAATCAATCACTTTGCAGAAAATGCAAGTAGTTGAGCTCTCCTTTACTTGTTTCCTCTACCTGATTCCCTTCTTAATTGAGGAGTACTATGAACATTTTTGTGTCTCCTTCAGGGTAGTTCTTTATATATGTGGACATACACATGCACAAACATAACTTTGAAACTTGTTTCTATTTATTTAAAAATGTTTCTATCCATTCATATAGATCTGCCTAATTTTTTAAACTGCTAAATTGTGACAATATAGGTATTCTGTAATTATACATCACTTTATAGGTAGATGTTTAGGATATAAATTCCCATCAGATATTGCTATGTATTATACTACACTCTTACAAATGTGTAAGTACATTAAACTTTTTAATGTTTGCCAAAATGTTGAGTGGTAACAATCTCACTTTAATTGCACTTAAATACTAGAAATTAAAAATCTTTTTAATATAATTTTGTTCATTTATTTTACTTATATTATTTGTAGTTCATATTGTTGTTTCTTTATTTTAATATTACTTGATATATATAATGTTGTTTTCATTCATAAATAGGTTAGTCACATTAGCTTTTTTTTTTTTTTTTTTTTTTTTGACAGTGTCTCACTCTGTTGCCCAGGCTGGAGTGTACTGGCACAATCTCGGCTCACTGCAACCTCTGTCTCCCAGGTTCAAGCAATTATCTTGCCTCAGCCTCCCAAGTAGCTGGGATTACAGGCATGCGCCACCATGCCTGGCAAATGTTTGCATTTTTAGTAGAGATGGGGTTTTACCATGTTGGCCAGGCTGGTCTCGAACTCCTGACCTCAGGTGATTCAACTGCTTTGGTCTCCCAAAGTGCTGGGATTACAGGTGTGAACCACCACGTCCAGCTCCACATTAGCTTTTATATAACATTTTCTTAAATGGTATTTTTTGAGTATATGATCATATAATTTTTTTTCTTTTTTTTTTTTTTTTTTTTTGAGATGGAGTCTTGCTCTGTTGCCCAGGCTGGAGTGCAGTGGTGCGATCTCGGCTCACTGCAAGCTCCGCCTCCTGGGTTCACTTCATTCTCCTGCCTCAGCCTCCCGAGTAGCTGGGACTACAGATGCCCACCACCATGCCCGGCTAATTTTTTGTACTTTTAGTAGAGACGGGACGGGGTTTCGCTGGGTTAGTCAGGAAGGTCTCGATCTCCTGACCTCGTGATCCACCTGTCTCAGCCTCCCAAAGTGCTGGGATTACAGGAGTGAGCCACCACGCCTGGCCTCATATAATTTTTTTAAACAACAATTTTCTACCTTTCTTCTAAAATTAAACATCTTAATAATTTATCTAGTTTTATTCACAAGAATCTCTGGTAAATGGTTTACACTTGCAAAGACAGCAGTGAGGCTTTTCCAGTTGTCTATGTGAAAAAATTATTTAATTTCCCTATGCCATGAATTTCATTAATAAAGTCCTGAATATTGAAATATTTTTACACTTCCTTGTAAACCATGTTTAGTGTGTTATTTTTTCAACTATATTATTCATGTGCTTGGCTGATAATTTTTCTTTCTCTTCATCATTCTCTTTCTTTTCCCTACTGCATCTGCTTCCCTTTTTTCTTTACCTGTCATTCTGTCAACTATGTTTGGTTTTGATGTCACAATCGATCTATAAAATATCCTTTTTGAATACTACAGGATGCTAACCAGCTTTTCCTGGGCTTTACAACAAGTTATATGAATGGTGTTTAACTATCCCTTGAAGTATGATAGAATTTACATCCTAACCATATGGAACTGGTGCTTTTGTTATGGGTTGCATTAGTTTCCCATTGCTGCTTTAATGGATTGTGATAACTTGATGGCTTGAAATAACTTTGTGTTAAAATCAAGAGTTGCATTTCTCCTGTAGCCTCTAGGGGAGTGTATTAGTCCGTTCTCACGCTGCTAATAAAGACATACCAGAGATGGGGTAATTTGTAAAGGAAAGAGGTTTCATTGACTCACAGTACCACAGGACTGGAGAGGCCTCTGCAAACTTATGATCACGACAGAAGGGGAAGCAAACACATCCTTTTTCACATGGCAGCAGTAAGGAGAAGTGCAAAGCAAAGGTGCGGGAAAAGCCTCTTATAAAACCATCAGATCTCATAAGAACTCATTCACTATCATGAGAACAGTATGGAGGTAACTGCCCCCATGATTCAATTGCCTCGCACTGTGTCCCTCCCACAATGTGTGTGGATTATGGGAACTACAATTCAAGATGAGGTTTGGGTGGGGGCACAGCCAAAACACATCAGGGAGCATCAGTTTCCTTATATTTCCCAACGTCTTCAGGCTGCCTGAATTTCCCCTTTATGGCACTCTTCCTTCCTCAAGGCAAGAATAGTTTGTATAATTTTCTCATCATCATTCTAACCATTCTAGCCTTCACTCTAGCCATCAACTTTTGTTCCTCCCCCTTCCACATTTAAAGACTTATGATTATATTGGCCCCACTTGGATAGTTCATTAGAATCTTTCTACTTTAAAAGTCATCTGATTAGAAATTTTATTTCTATCTGGTACCCTGTTTTTGACATGTAATGTAACATATTCACAGGCTCCAGGGAGTAGAAGGTGAACGTCTTTGGTATGCAATTGTTCTGCCTATCACAACAGTATTTGACCACCTTTAAAGTTTATTCTTTGTTTTTTCTTTATTACTTCTTTTACATCAGTATTGTTAAATAACATTTCACCAGGAAATCATATGTTAAGTTTAGAGTTTCAAATACATGATGTAAATTTGCACATTCTTTTATTTGATCACATATGTATCCAAAAATAAGACTATCCATTTTTTATGTTTTGCTGTTGTTTATTTCATCATTTTATTTTTCAACAGAAATAAGCACTTTTCTGTATTTTAGTAATATTGCTTTTTTTTAGAAATAACCAGCTTTTACTTATGTCAATAATTTTTTTGGTAGTCTCTTTTTAAAAAAATACATTTATTTTAGTTTTAAATATTTAATCATGTTTTATCTTGTGCTTATGTGGTTCTTCCTTTTTCTTCTTTCTCATGTGAGAATTGAATTTTAGTCTTTATTTTGTAATAAGTTAATTTAACACTAAATTTCCTCTGAGTAATTCATCAGCCATATCCCAAAGTCGTGCTTTCATTATCACTCATTTTTAAGTTATTGCCTGCATTCCCTGGCATGTAATAAGGAAATAAATAGGTAATAATGTTATTTATTTTTATTTTATCCTTAACCTTCAATGTATTTAGATCAGTTTTTTAAAATAAAATATCCTAGTGAACACATTTTTTTTTACAATTGACTTGTTACACTGTCATTTAAAGTATGACAACCAAATATAAGTTATTTTTTATATATATATAATTTACTAAATGACATGGTTTGGCTTTGCCCCCACTCAAACCTCATCTTGAATTGTAACTCCAACAATCCCCATGTGTGGTGGGATGTACTCACTGGGAGGTAACTGAATTACAGGGGTGGGTGTTTCCTACACTGTTCTTATTGCAGTGAATGACTCTCATGAGATCACATGGTTTTACAAACAGTTTTTCTGCTCATTCTCTGGTTTTGCCTGCTGCCATCCATGTAAGATGTGACTTGCTCCTCCTTGCCTTCCACCATGATCGTGAGGACCCCCAGCCATGTGGAACTGCTTTCTTTTTTAAATTGTCCAATCTCAGGTATGTTTTTATCAGCAGCATGAAAAAAGACTAATACAGTAAATTGGTACTTGGAGTGGGGTGCTGCTGAAAAGATACCTGAAAACGTGGACGCACCTTTGGAATTGGGGAAAAGGCAGAGGTTGGAAGAGTTTGGAGGGCTCAGAAGAAGACAGGAAAATATGGGAAAGTTTGGAACTTGCTAGAGTCTTGTTGAATGGCTTTGTCTAAAATGCTGATAGTGACATGGACAATAAAGTCCAAGCTGAGGTGGTCTCAGATAGAGATGAGGAACTTGCTTGGAACTGGAACAACATTTGCTCTTGTTATGTTTTAGCAAAGAGACTGGCAGCATTTTGCCCCTGCCCTAGAGCCTGGTGGAACTTTAAACTTGAGAGAGTTGATTTAGGGTATCTGGTGGAAGAAATTTCTAAGCAGCAAACCATTAAAGATGTGACTTGGGTGCTGTTAAAAGCATAAAAGCATTCACTTTTATAAGGGAAGCAGAGCCTGAAAGTTCAAAAAATTGGCCACCTGACAATGCAATAGAAAAGAAAATCCCATTTTCTGAGGAGAAATTCAAGCTGACTGCTGAAATTTGCATGAGTAATGATAAGCCAAATATTAATCCCCAAGACAATGGGGAAGATGTCTCCAGGACATATGAGAGACCTTTGCAGCAACCCCTCCCATCACAGGCCTGGAAGTTTAGGAGGAAAAAATGGTTTCCTTGGCTGGGACCAGGGTCCCTCTGCTGTGTGCAGTCTAGGGATAAGACACCCTGCATCCCAGCTATTCCAGCCATGACTAAAAGAGGCCAAGGTACAGCTCAGGCTGCGGCTTCAGAGTGTTAAAGCCCCAAGACTTGGCAGCTTCCATGTGGTGTTGAGGCTGCAGGTGCACAGAAGTCAATAATTGACATTTGGGAACCTCCACCTAGATTTCAAAGGATGTATGGAAATGCCTGGATGCCCAGGCAGCAGTTTGCTGCGGGTGCAGTACTCTCATTGAGAAACTCCACTAGGGCAGTGCAGAAGGGAAATGTGAGGTCAGAGTCCTCACAAAGAGTCCCCCGTGGGGCACTGCCTGGTGGAGCTGCGAGATGAGGGCCACCATTCTCCAGACCCCAGAATGGTAGATCCACTGACAGCTTGTACCGTGCTCATGGAAAAGCCACAGACACCCAATGCCAGCCCCCGATGAAAGCAGCCAGAAAGGAGGTTGTATCCTGCAAAGCCGTGAGGGCAGAGCTGCCCAAGACCATGTGAACCCCAACTCTTGCATCAGTGTTACCCATATATGAGACATGGAGTCAAAGGAGATCATTTTAGAGCTTTGAGATTTGACTGCCCCACTGGATTTCTGACTTGCAGGGGGCATGTAGCCCTTTTTGTTTTGGAAAATTTCTCCTATTTGGAAGGGCTATATTTACTCAAGGCCTGTACTCCCATTGTATCTAGGAAGTAACTAACTTGCTTTTGATTTTACAGGCTCACAGGTGAATGGGGTTTGCCTTGTCTCAGATGAGATGTGGGACTGTGGACTTTTGAGTTAATGCTGAAATGAGTTAAGACTCTGGAAGACTATTAGGAAGGCATGATTGGTTTTGAAATGTAAGGACATGAGATTTGAGAGGGGATGGGGTGAATGATATGGTTTGGCTGTGTCCCCACCCAAATCTCATTTTGAATTGTAACTCCAACAATTCCCACATGTCATGGGAGGAACTTGGTGGGAGATTATTGAAATATGAGAGCAGGTCTTTCCTGTGCTGTTCTTGTGAGAGTTAATGAGTCTCATGAGCTCTTATGGTTTTAAAAACAGGAGTTTCCCTGCACATTCTTTTTGCCTGCTGCCATCCATGTAAGATGCTACTTGCTCCTCCTGCCTTCTGCCATGATTGTGAGGCCTCCCCACCCTTGTGTGACTGTAAGTCCATTAAATCTCTTTCTTTTGTAAATTGCCCAGTCTCAGATATGTCTTTAACAGCAGCATGAAAACAGACTAATACACTAAGCTTTTGGTTTTATATAATACATCATTCCTATTTATTATGCATTTATGAATATTAGAAGATATTTGGAATGCCTTTTAGTAGTCACAAAATTGTGGAATAATAGCCAGACACAGGAATTAAGAATATTGACTAAGATATAAATACAGAAAACAAACCAGGCTGCCCATCCTATCTATCAGTATATCCATTTTGTTTTATTTTCTATGTAGATTTACTCTTTGGCCATTTTTAGCTATTTCTACTGATGCAAGCTGGTCCAAACCACTATAATGTTTTACGTGAATTATTACTATAGGCTTCCAATGCATTCCTGACATTCCATCCTTACTTACATTTAATTTTATTTTTCCCACCAAATTACCCAGTCATGCAATTTTATGTAAACCAGATCATGTCACTATTCTACTCAAAATCTCCTATTAGCTTTAACTCTTACTCCTCCTTTGAGCATTTACTCAATGTCTTATTCTTAGTGAAGCCTTCCCTAACAAACCCAAGTGAAACTGCAATCTGCTCACCCACCCAGGCTGACTTTCCTCATTCCCTTCAAATACTTACTACCTTGTCATATGTGCTGTACTTAATTTATTTTTTCCATTGTCTGTCTTTCCCTATAAAAATGAGAAGCTAAAATCTTTAGATCTGGACTTTTCTTTTTTACTGTCACAATCTAGAACACTCAAAAGAGTAACTGTCACACAGTGAGTGCTCAAAAACCTTTGTTGAATAAATGGCTAAACTACTTTTATTGTGTCATTCAAATCCTCTGCCTTATTTTTTTGTTCTTTTGTTGATTTCTGAAAATTTTGTGTTAAATTCTACCAATGTGTTTCTAAAATTGGCAATGTCTCACTTTCTGCTTCTGCTTTATATATTTGGAAGCTTTTGTCTTACCTGATTAAAGTTTAATGATTTATATTTTCTTAGCATTACCTTTTGTTAATACCGAATTTCATGATGGAATTAAAGTCTGTTTGGAGTTTCATCAACATTTTAACATTAGCTTTCTTTCGTTAGCACTTGCTGGCATATATATTATTTCTCCTATTTTTTTTTAAATTTTATCTTAGATGAGTCTCTTAAAAGTAAAATAAGGTTGTAGGTTGTTGTTTTATCTTTTATATCTTTTCTTCGATAGTTTGATAATCAGTGAATCTTATTAAGAACATTTAAATTTTCAATATGTAACTATTTTTGTAATGGTTAATTTCTCAAGTACATATATTTTTATAACACATTTTTATGAATCACCAAGATAAATCAATTATTCCTTCATCCTCTTACTCTTCACCCTATTTTCCTTCTAATAATAGATAACCTAGCATGCTTTCATTTCCTCCTGCCCCACCCCATCTCCCATGTTGAGCTCATCTGGGATTGTTTCATCGCAGTTAATAATAATTTTTTTATTTATGTATAAATGCTTATTTATATTTTATCATTATGTGATTATGTTGCATAAGTATAAATGGTATACATTATGAATATGTTATTTGTACTTCCAAATTATTAAACATATATTTTAGTGGCTTCTATAATCTCACTATGTTTAAAATGTTATATTTTATTACATTATTTTCTTTGGCTGTAGTATACTCCTTCAGTGCTAATTCTTTCAGAGAAAGCCTATGGGTTTTAGATTTCTTACGTTAAATTTCTTACTCTTTGCAAATTCTGAACTTTTATTATGTCTTTAAAATTAACAGTTGAGATGTTCTGTTCACATTTCGGATAATGGATTGACTGGTTTCAAAATAATTTTCCTTAAATCTCTGTGAATAGTGCAGCATCATCTTTCAACATGTAATTTTGTTAATGAAATGTCGACATAATTTTCCTTCTTCTGTTTTTTAGATATGGTCTTGCTCTGAAAGTTTTTAGTATTTTCATGCATGAAGCTTTGGGTTCAAATCCTTGCTCTACTACTTACCTACTACTTACCAGTACTTCTATTAAAAATATATGAGCCTTCTTAGATTAATCCTCAATATCTTCTAACTTTTTAGCACATTTAAAAAAATTGCTATCTGTAATTCCCTTGTCTTGGTATTCTAATGTTCTGTTTGAGTTTTATTTATTTGATTTCACTTTCAGCCTTATGTCAGTTATTTTTAATTTAGGCAATATTTATCAATTTGTCCATAATTCTTTCTGATTGTTTCATTTTCTTAATCCTTATAGTTGTTTTCTGGTTTCAATAATCTCTCAAATTTCTCATAACTAGCAAATATATTTTATTAAAATCTCCTTTATTCCCTGGATTGCCTTTTAGCATCTTTTCTTGGCACCTTGGCTGATTTCTTAATTTTTTTTTCTTTAACAATATTTGTTTCCTTCAAATAGCCTATGATTCTTAGTGATTGGTTTAGATTGCTGATATGAGTTTGTTTAAGTAGAAGGGATAATCAAATGCTATGTGTAAAAAATGAAGAATGGTTTTGTTAAGTTCACTCAAGGTCTATTAGTATGAGGCTCGCATCAAAGCTTAGGACACCCTCTAGCAGCTAAAATAAGGAATAATTTCTTTCAGCACTTAAAACATAAGTAAATTTCATCCATGAATGAAATGGCTTCTCTCCCACCTCCCCACTCCATTTCTTATCCTGTCTAGACCTTCCTGAAGCTCTCTCCTTCTTTCTCATTAATCTGTGTGTGAACTAAACCTGACCCCAAGCAAGTAGTTCACATCATTTATGGTACAGCTTTTGGTTTTTAGATTGCCATTGGGTATTAGGGATTGTGGACAGAAAGTAGTTGGACTCATTTGACCAGCTGGTTAGGATTTTTGTCTTTAATTAATTACTATGATAGCTGACTTAGTACTCTCTCTCATGCTTTGTGGATTTCCACTCTTCACTTGTCATATTTGGGTTATAGTTTTTCTGTCCTTATTTATCTGATATTAATGACTTTATACCTTTTCTACATTTTTCATAAATTTTGGAATTCCTGTTTCTTGCCATAAAATTGGAAATTAATCTGGTGTGTTTTCATATATGCATAAACACACACACACTTGTGTATGTGTGTAAAATATGCACACACATGCAGAGTCATCATAAGAGATCACATAGAAGAGGAAAAGTTAAGTGTATATGCTCAGACTATCTAATTAGTCCATCTTTACTATGTTTCAGATTTTATTTTGTGTACCAGGATATTTGATAGGTTACTGATTGAACAGCCAGAAAGTTCCTTTATACAATGAAACAAGGAGATTTCTATTGCATTCAAAAAAAAAATGTCACACGTAATCTGTCATCAATGAAATCCCACAAGAATATCTAGGTCTTTTAAAAACTTAAACTATACTACAAGGCTACAGTAACCAAAACAGCATGGTACTGGTACCAAAAGAGAGATATAGACCAATGGAACAGAACAGAGCCCTCAGATATAATACCACACATCTACAACCATCTGATCTTTGACAAATGTGACAAAAACAAGAAATGGGGAAAGGATTCCCTATTTAATAAATGGTGCTGGGAAAACTGGCTAGCCATATGTGGAAAGCTGGAACTGGATCCCTTCCTTACACCTTATATGAAAATTAATTCAAGATGGATTAAAGACTTACATGTTAGACCTAAAACCATAAAAACCCTAGACGAAAACCTAGGCAATACCATTCAGTACATACGCATGGGCAAGGACTTCATGTCTAAAACACCAAAAGCAATGGAAACAAAAGCCCAAATTGACAAATGGGATCTAATTAAACTAAAGAGCTTCTGCACAGCAAAAGAAACTACCATCAGAGTGAACAGGCAACCTACAGAATGGGAGAAAATTTTTACAATCTACTCATCTGACAAAGGGCTAATATCCAGAATCTACAATGAACTCAAACAAATTTACAAGCAAAAAACAACCCCATCAACAAGTGGGTGAAGGATATGAACAGACACTTCTCAAAAGAAGACATTTATGCAGCCATCAGACACATGAAAAAATGCTCATCATCACTGGCCATCAGAGAAATGCAAATCAAAACCACAATGAGATACCATCTCACACCAGTTAGAATGGCAATCATTAAAAAATTGGGAAACAAGAGGTGCTGGAGAGGATGTGGAGAAATAGGAACACTTTTACACTCTTAGTGGGACTGTAAACTAGTTCAACCATTGTGGAAGACAGTGTGGCGATTCCTCAGGGATCTAGAACTAGAAATACCATTTGACCCAGCCATCCCATTACTGGGTATATACCCAAAGGATTGTAAATCATGCTGCTATAAAGACATATGCACATGTATGTTTATTGTGGCACTATTCACAATAGCAAAGACTTGGAACCAACCCAAATGTCCATCAATGATAGATTGGATGAAGAAAATGTGGCACATATATGCCACGGAATACTATGCAGCTATAAAAAAGGATGAATTCATGTCCTTTATAGGGACATGGATGAAGCTGGAAACCATCATTCTCAGCAAACAATCGCAAGAACAAAAAACCAAACACTGCATGTTCTCACTCACAGGTGGGAAATGAACAATGAGAACACTTGGACACAGGAAGGGGAACATCACACACCGGGGCCTGTCGTGGGGTGGGGGGAGTGGGGAGGGATAGCATTAGGAGATATACCTAATGTAAATGACGAGTTAATGGGTGCAGCACACCAACATGGCACATGTTTACATATGTTACAAACCTGCTTTGTGCACATGTACCCTAGAACTTAAAGTATAATAAAAAAATTTAAAAAAAAACACAAAGCTTGGATGTTCAAACCACTCCTCTGTAGCAAGAAGTTCCCAGCCTTGGCAACCTGTCCTGATTCAACTCTAAGTTGGAATATGTGACAAATATTCTTTTAATATTTTTCTTTTTTTTTAGAGACAGGGTTTCACTCTGTTGCTCAGGCTGGAGTGTAGTGGTGCGATCACAGCTCACTGCACCTTTAACTCCTGAGCTGATGTGATCCTCCCACCTCAGCATTTGAGTTGCTAGGACTACAGGCATATGCCACCAAACCCAGATAATTTTTTTAAATTTTTTTTTAGAGATGGGGGTCTCACAAGCTACATGACAAGTATTCCCTTAGACCTTTGCATTATTCTTTCTACATCAAAATGATAAACGAAACAAAACTAAAAGTATACCACCTGATGTCACTTTCAAAAATTCTAGAGTACATCTACATGTATGTACTCTTCAGAGTTGTCTATGTCTTAGGTACTCTTCAGAGTTGTCTATGTCTTAGATCCTCTTGAATAGGCAATGTTACAATCCTTACTGAGTTATACACAGTTCCTGTTATCCCTTCATTAATTTGAGCAATACTTACAGAGCACCTACTATGTGAAAGATACTATCCTCAGCATTGAGATACATGTGTAAAGAGAAGACAACAAATCAAGATTTCTTCCCTTATTAACTTACATTCTAAAAGAGTATCTCAAGTATTTTCTCCTCTCATTCACAGTAGAATTAAAGCTAATGGTAAAGGGCCTAACATTTTAAAAATCTCCAATTTAAGTCATTTGCAGCAAATTCAATAACTATAAAATACATTAGAAATAATATAGAATAATAATTATAAATATTCTATATTGATACTTGATGGCATCAGCAGTTAATAAGTTATAAAATGGTTAAAGTTTGTACTTTTATATTAAGGATTTAACATAGTTTGTCTATAAATTTTTGACGGTTTCTCTTAGTTTCCCGAATTAGACTAGTAACACAGCAATTCAAAAAATATTTGATTTTAAGGTATGCCAATCATTCTAAAATAAGATTCTAGTCCAGAAAAAGGGCTTTTTCAGATGAAGTCTGGGTCAACGATCTACCAGAGTTTCTAGTTGAGGAATGAAAATGTCAGTCACTCATAATATTTCAAAATATCTGGATACATGACACTGCATAGATAGACAAATCCATGGGTGAGAGAGCTGAATTTTTATAAGTTATTTCTGTTGTTCCATCAGCATATACCGAGGTAATGCAGTCACAGAGGAATTCGCTCAGCTCAGATTAGTTTCAACAAGGTTCAAGAAATTAAGAATAGTTTAAGCCACCATAGCAAGGGGTTCCAGGATATGTCAGCCTATTCTGATGCAACTCCATGGACATTATAGGACAGTTATTCCTTTAACTCTTTATCATTCTTTCCTCAACCTCTATGTAAAAAGCAATCCAACTAATTCATGCTACTTTTATAAATTAACATGTATTGTCATGCAAAGTAATTTTTAGGCAAAGTAATTTTTCTCTCCTCTGATACCATGCCAGAATGAGCCGAATGCCTTCAAAGTAGTTATATACAAATCAGCCTAAACTTGAAACAGAACAATTTCCCTGGTATTCTCACTTAAACCTAAGAATAAATAATATACATAAATCATATGGTTTTATGTATGACATATATATTCATATTATATGTCACATATATAATCTTATATATTTAATATATTATATCTATATAATGTTGCAGTGGTATGAGAAATATGAGGTAGTCAACATCAGTTATACTGCAAATAGCTATTGCTATCCTTCTTGACATAGTCCCGATTTTAGAAACTTTACTAAAAATAATTCACTTTTTAATCGCTTTTTATGGTCATCACGCATGATTTTATCAAATTCTCACATGAGGCTCAAATTGAAGATACAAAAGTTCTGATAAATACGGCAGCACTTGCCACATGTAAGCTACCTCTTAGGCCACTGATCTTGTTTGACTTCAAGTTATGTTTGTTCATGGAGTACTGCCATCTCATACAGCTTCAGGGTCTCTAAGACTCGTTTCTACTTTTATACTCTCTCATGAACTCATCTGAGACAGTGGAGATTAGGCCACAAAGCAGGCTAGGAAGATGCCCCAGAATACAGTGACTCTACTCATCGCCAAAACATAGACAAAAGAGGAAATTATCTCACAGGTCATCAAAAACACGGTCATCTGTTCCCTGGGGAAATTTAAACCTAACTAAAAATCCTTACAACTTTGAAAATGCCAGTCTGTGATCTGTATCCTTACTCTCCTTCTCCTCGCCATTTCTACCCCCATTAACATGGGATTGAAAAAAATTCAACAGCTACCCAAAGGATTTTGCTTTCTTCCTCGTTCTTCCTGTTCTCCAGACATTATAATAAGAAATTACTGTCTTAGAAGAGCTCTTGAATTTAATCTGCTTGAAAAGATTTAATTAATTTTTTCTTTGCAATTTCTTCTGTTTATATGCCCTTGGGAGAGTTTAATAAATATTTCTTTCTTATTCTTTGCTTTAAATTGATCTCTGGGAAATACTTAAGAGGTTGTATGTATTCTTCACAGTTTTTCACTTTGCTTCCCTAATATAAAGTGACAATGGATTTTTAGCTGACTATTCAATTCATTAACAATTTCGAAAGTTTTCTTGCTGTTGTATCCACTATTATTTTTATTAGTTTAATTAAAACTAAAAAATTTATCCTGATTACACATTTCCTTTACCTTCCTTAACACAAACAATTAATTAGAAAAAATAGTACGGAATACAATTTTTTCATATGGAACTTTTCAAATAAGTGTCCCAATCAAGTCAATATATACATTTAAAGAGAATTAACATAGTAAATTTATACTTACTCTTATATCCGTAGCTAGTCATGCAACATGAGAAAAATCCCCAGACTTCCTGGTCCTTTAATCTTTTCATTGATAAATACAGAAGATCAGATAAGATTATTCTGAAGCTTCCTCCACAGGTATAATGACCTATTATTCTAAAGCATAGTCAGTGTAGCTTCTTAGACACTCATATTTTGTTCTACATTTGGCTGGGCAGTCTTTGAAAATCTTCACAATAGCAAATAACCTTTTTTATTCATCTGTATGTGAGATTGACTTTTGCAATCTTGAAGACAGGACTTAAACTTGTAGAACCTAGAGTTGTGAAAAAGAATATCACAAATTCATCAATTAAGGCACAGTGAATTCTACTTAGTTCCTGGCCTCATACACTTTACTGTAGATACAATAATGTACAATCATGATTGATTGAGAGTGCACATTGAATCCTGGCTGAAAGTGTCTCATCCTTATAGGGCATCATTTTGTAGCTGATGTCTCAGCTGTACCTTCATTAGGTTATTCCAACATCATATGAAGTCATTAGCTTCCAGATAGTGCCAGAACATGATACAACCTTCTTGCTCTAGAGTGAGTCCATTGGTTATGTGGGATCCTGTGTAAGGGATTACATGTTCTGTGAGTTCTAGGACAGTAGTGCTGATTTAGGTCTTGTGGACAGGTAAGGGAAATTCATATCAAGAATATATTTGTATTCTATTCCAGCCAGGCGCAGTGGCCCATGTCTGTAATCCCAGCACTTTGGGAAGCTGAGGCGAGCAGATCACTTGAGACCAGGAGTTCGAGACCAGCCTGGGCAACATAGTGAAACCCTATCCCTACTAAAAATGCAAAAATTAGCCAGGTGTGGTGTCACACTCCTGTAATCTCAGATACTCGGGAGGCTGAGGCATGAGAATCACTTGGGCCCTGGAGACCCAGGTTACAGTGAGTCGAGATCACGCCACTCCACTCCAGCCTGGGTGACAGAGTGAGACTCTCTCTCTCTCAAAAAAAAGAATATAATTGTATTCCACTTTAGACAATTGCTATCTCTTCCAGGATGAAAGGGATTAATGTAGTCAACTTGCCAAGTGTCTATGTTCTCTTTAAAAGATGGTGACATATAGAGGACTTAGTATGTATCTATTTCTTGTAGTTAGGGCAGCAGTAATAGATAAATCGGCTTTGGGAACAGGGAACCCTTGCTTTGGCATGTATGCATAATGGTCCTTTTAGCAACGTAGCTACTTTGTAAATGACCCTACTGTATCAGCATAAGTGTGGCCAATGCAGAGGCTGGCTGCAGCATACCAACTGAGTCATTTTGTTTACTTGGTTGATTGTAGCTTCAACTTTGATATATGCTCTCTGGTAGATATTAACATGTGATACAGATCTTCACACCTGATCATTCTTATAGGTCCATTCATATGTTTCTTCTACAGATGTTTTTTTACCCAGTCTTCCAATATCTCTTTCTCGTTCCATTCAGCAACCAGCCTGTGAATCCATATACATTCTAACCTCAGGACCTGGGCCAATTGGCATAGTAGGAACAGTTTTTTGAAAGGTATTTAGTTCTCTGCTTCCAATGTAACTAACTTGCTATGGAAAAATAGGTGTCTATATTGCGATTCTTCTTTAGGCCCTGTCATAAAATTTACATGGTATCTTCTCCCGTGTACTTCTCTAAAACCCTGTGTCTCACTGGATCATATATCCTAAATAATAGAACCTCCAAAGTAGAAGACCAGATGTAACACCTGGAATTCAGCACTCTTGGAGGATTTTCCCTCATCACTGTCTCTCTATGTCATTTCTAAATAGGGCTATAGTACAATGTCATCCATTTTCAATGTGCATAAGCTGCTGAGTTTATTCATCCATGTACCAATATTTGAATTCTTCCTCCTCTGTGAAGGGACTCCCATGCAGCTATTTGTGTGATCTGAGGCAATAAGCCAGGAGAAAAGTGGTAGATAATGTAGGGGATCTAGGCCACTTTCTGTACAGACATTTTGTGTCCTATGCTTTTGTTTGGTAATGAATGCATTACTTACATCCTGCGACTGATTCCTGCTGGGCCAATTCAGCCTATGACTTAATGGGTCTGATAGAAGCCAGCTTATAGCAGTTCTTTCTACATAGATAGATTATGTCCCATCATCAGGCAATCTGTCTGTACAAGTACGAATTTGTATACTAGGAACAGTTTTTTGAAAGGTGTTTAGTTCTCTTTTTCCAATGTAACTTGCTCCAGAACAGTAGAGGTCTACATTGTGATTCTCCACTAGGTCATATACCCCAAATGACAGGACCTCTTAGATCTTAACCTGGGCTTGCAAAGCCTGTGCTTACTCTTGGCCTCACTCAAAGCTGAGTATGACATGTCATCAAATGTATGAGTTCAACAGGATTCCGAAGTGCAGAATATGCTGCCTCAGGAGCCCAAAGGAGGCTAACAATGTGCCATGCTTTCTTCTTAGTAGTGAGAGGTACAAGACAGAATCGTTTATTTTTAGCTTTGAAGGGAACACCATATACTATTAACTGTCTCCACAATTCTATGTGAGTCCCCCAGCTTTCTCTCTGACCTGGTTTTTACAGCAATAAACAAGTTAGCTTGTATCCTTTCAGGAACCTACCTTCCCCACTGCAGTCATGTAGCCAGTTCTGTAACTGTATCTCCTACCATCAGCTGTGGACTTCAGAGAACATATACCCAGGGCTTCTCAGTGATGCTGGTGCCTCTCTCATTAATATGTTCCTTATTGTTTTGGTGAAGGAAGCGTCCACCAGGAACACAGTCATCTTCTGAATATCCCAATATTACATACCATATCCACTGTAGTGTATCCAATGCTCAGAACCTTTTGATCCCTTACTTCATTCTGCATCATAGTAGTTCAAATACTTCTATTTTATACTATATTCCACTGGCTTTTCCAAGCTTCCATTAACCATATGAGCACTGGTTGGTGCAGTCCCCAAGGGTGTGTTCCAGAGTATTAAATTCTATGAACTGGAAGAGGAATCCCACATGAATAAACTTACCTTTATCCAACTTCACATTTCCCTGCTGCCCCCCTTGATTTAACACTCTTGAAATTTATTTCCATACATAACACTCCCAATTCTTTTTCATACAAGTTGGCTACTTCTGCAAGCCATTCAGTGTGCAGCTTTTTTCTTTCATTTAAGGCCTAGAACTTCTCCAACTCCATTATCTTGTGATATGGCCTTACTTAATGGTGCTGTAGCCAGAAGGTAGTTAGAGGAAGATTAAAACACTCTCTGCCTTTAAGCATGGCGAGTAAGCCTAGCTTTCAACAGGGAGAAGTGGGTCATTTCTGCAGGCCATAGAGATTGAAGATTTTCAAGTGTGTCACCCAGATATTCCTAACTTCATGTTTCGGGGGCCCTTTCCTTCCCAGTCAGAGTCTTGACATTGAGGTAGCAGACGTGATGAGACTAAGTGTTCAACCTTCTCTAGAGATTTGCTGCAATTCTGATTACAGCTTTGAACTGAGCTTTTTCTGCCCTCCCAGTCCAGGAAGTGAGTCCCCTTCTGTACTGCCAAGAAACACTTGTGATTTTTGCAAGTAATGTTTAATTGCTGATTATCACTCTCAGCATCTTCTTAATAAAATAAATAATGAATCCTATTAATTATTAAATATAATTAAATAAATATGTGTGCTAACATAATGAAATTAACAAATTATTCAGTATCGGTTGCTCCCATCAACAGCTATCCAGTTGCACTGCTTTATTATTTTCTTCATTAGACATAAATACCCCAGTGCATTTGTCTTTCACTGACACAACCCAGGCCTAGAGAAAACTTGAGGTCATGAGATGAGCTTTTAAGTGTGAGAATTTGGAAGTTTGGGTATCTATGCTGCTCTCAGTTCTGCTGCTCCATTGATTCCATATCTCTCTAGATAAAAAATCTGAAACTAATATTTTTGTTCTTATCTAAAATGCCCTCAGTCGTCAGTTATCCTCAGTAGCCTGATAGTAACATGACTGGGTGACTGTGCATTCCCTTAGATCACTACTAAGTTTCACTCCAATTAAAACCTTCTGGAAATCTTTGCAGACAAAAATTTTAATATGCAGAGTACGCATTTAGCTTATTGATTCCTATTGTCACTTAATGAAATAGGCTTAAAATGAGGGGAGTAGAAGCAACAGGAGACTAGACCGGTTTATTTGTGTAACTCTATAATGTACTTTAAACCATTTAAAATGTTTAAATGAAAGTTAAACTGTAATATGGGGAACATTTATCATGAGCTGTTTTCTGTCTTGCTACTCCTTGGGTGAATTTGCACCCTCAGGTTCTACATTTTGATATGTGGAATGATGCTATTAATTTATGCTTTATATAAAAAGTGAATATTTTAGGTAGTTTCTTTTATTCATTTTTTTCAAACCCAAAACTTAACAAACCAACAAAAATAACCAAAAAAAGCAAACAAAAATTAAAACAAACCAACAATAATAAGGGAAAAAAATCTTCTATTGTTCAGCTATTGTCCTATAATAAAGCACTGAAAAAGTCGGTAACATACAAGAGTATAGAAATATCATGCTAATAAGCCTCTGGTCAGCTGGAGCAGATCCATATAAGGCTGCAGGTCTGTGAACCAATGAGAATGGCTCTGCTTCATGCTTTTCTGGGACTAGTGGACTTCCTGGAAATCAGGTAGGAAACAAGATACATAGAATACAACCTGATTGATGATTTGAGATATAAACCAGACATGCAAATTATATTGCCTTTAAAATATTTGGGAAAGTTGAAATGATACAAACTATATTCATCAATTTATTTATTTAAAAATATTGAGTTAGCCTTTACATGTCATGTGCCAAGGATTGTGGTAAATCCTAGAGATGCAAAGTTGAGCAGAGCAGACATATTCTCTTCCTCCAGGAAGCTCACATTAGGATGTATCCAAGAATGTATATTCAAGCTAAAATCCCAGATTCTCATTTGGCAAACCTTTTTTTCATGTAGCTATATTTCAACTCGGGTAAATATACATAAGAAAAATTTTTACTTCTTTTTAAGAAAAATTGTTAGTTCTTTTTATAAAAGTGTTTTAATTTTTAATTTTAATTTAATTTTACAATATTATTAAGTCTGAAATTAATATTTTTTTTGAGGCAGAGTTTTGCTCTTGTTGCCCAGGCTGGAGTGCAGTTGTGGGATCTTGGCTCACTGAAACCTCCGCCTCTTGGGTTCAAGCAGTTTTCCTGCCTCAGCCTCCCAAGTAGCTGGGATTACAGGTGCCCACCACCACACCCAGCTATTTTTTTATATTTTTAGTAGAGATGGGGTTTCACCACATTGGCCAGGCTGGTCTCGAACTCCTCACCTCATGTGATCCGCCCGCCTCAGCCTCCCGAAGTGCTAGGATTACAGGCGTGAGCCACTGCGCCCAGCCTAAAATTAATCTTAATCCTCACTCATTTGCTGTGTAACTTTGAAAAATTTACTTTGTCCAGTATTCTGTAGCCAGTATTCTCATATATAATACAAAATAAATATGAATGATAATTTTGATTCTCCTAGCTCAAAGTATTTTCTCATTTCTCATGGGCACCATTCACATATTAATCTTTTACATTTTAATTCTTAAAGAAGGAGAGACGGGAGCTCTTCTCTTTCTTTCGCCTATCAAACTTCTGCTCTTAACCTCACTTTTTTTTTTTTTTTTTTTTGAGACAGAGTCTCGCTCTTTCGCCCAGGCTGGACTGCAGTGCCGCTATCTCGGCTCACTGCAAGCTCAGCCTCCTGGGTTCACACCATTCTCCTGCCTCAGCCTCCCGAGTAGCTGGGACTACAGGCTCCCACCACCGTGCCCAGCTAATTTTTTGTATTTTTAGCAGAGACGGGGTTTCACTGTGTTAGCCAGGATGGTCTCAATCTCCTGAACTCGTGATCCGCCCGCCTCGGCCTCCCAAAGTGCTGGGATTACAGGCGTGAGCCACCGTGCCCGGCCAACCTCACTTCTTGTGTGTCCATGTCCTTGATTTCCTTGTCATGAGAAAATGAACCTTGGATATCATCCCAGACAACGAGGCTGCTTCAGAAGGGGTCCAGTTTCAACTTCTGCATATGGCTAGCTAGTAATCCCTGCATCATTTATTGATTAGGGAGTTATTTCCCTATTGCTTTATTTGTCAACTTTGTCAAAGGACAGATAGTTTTAGGTGTATGACTTTATTTCTGGGTTCTCTAAACTGTTCTGTTAATGTATGTGTCTACTTCTGTACCACTACCATGCTGTTTTGGTTACTGTAGCCCTGTACTATAGTTTGAATTCAGGTAGTGCGGTGCCTCTAGCTTTGTTCTTTTTGCTTAGGGTTGCCTTGGCTATTTGGGCTTTTTTAGGCTTCATACAAATATTAGAATAGGTTTTTGTTTTGTTTTGTTTTTTCGTTCTGTGAAAAATGCCATTGGTAGTTTGATAGGAATAGCATTCAATCTCTAAATTGCTTTGGGCAGTATGGCCATTTCCACAAAACTGATTCTTCTTATCCATGAGTATGTAATGTTTTTCCATTTGTTTGTGTCATCTCTGATTTATTTCAGTGTTTGGTAATTTTCATTATAGAGATCTTTCACCTCCCTGGTTAGCTGGATTCCTAGGTACTTTATTCTTTCTGTGGCTATTGTGAATGGGATTGCATTCTGGATTTGGCTCTCATCTTGGATGTTGTTGGTGTATAGAAATGCTACCAATTTTTATACGGTCATTTTGTATCCTTATACTTTGCTGAAGTTGTTTATCAGATTTAGGAGGTTTTAGGCAGTGACTATGGTGTTTTCTAGGTACAGAATTATATAATCTATATACAGAGATAGTCTGACTTCATATCTTTCTATTTGGATGCCTTGTATTTCTTTCTATTCCCTGATTGCTCTGGCTGGGACTTCCATTACTATGCTGTATAGGAGTGGTGGGATTGGGCATCCTTGTCTTCTTCTGGTACTCAAGGGGAATGCTTCTAGCTTCTGCATATTCAGTATGATGTTGCCTGTGTGTTGTTCATAGATGGCTGTTATTACTTTGAGGTATGTTCTTTAAAAGCCTGGTTTGTTGAAGGTTTTTAATATGAAGGGATGTTGGATTATATCAAAAGCCTTTTCTGCATTTATTGAGAGGATCATGTAGTTTTTTAAAATTCTTTTTATATGATGAATCACATTTATTCATTTTTGTATGTTGAACCACCCTTGCATCCCAGGGATAAAGCCTACATGACAGTGGTGGATTAGCTTTTTGATGTGGTACTGGATTTGGCTTGCAAGTATTTTGTTTAGGATTTTTGTAACTATGTTCATCAGGAATATTGCCAGAAGTTTTAAGTTTTGCTTTTTTTTTGCTGTGTCTCTGCCAGGTTTCGGTATCAGAATGATGCTGGGCTCATAGAATGAGTGAGGGAGAAGTACCTCCTCCTGAATTATTTGGAATAGTTTCAGTAGGAATGATATCAGCTCTTCCTTATACATTTGGAAGAATTTGTCTGTGAATCCATCTGGTCCTGGTCTTTTTTCTGGTTGGCAGGTTTTTTATTACTCATTCACTTTCGGAGCTCATTATTTTTCTCTTCAGGGATTTAATTTCTTCCTGGCTCAATTCTGGGATACTGTATATTTCCAGGAATTTATTCATTTCTTCAAGGTTTTCTAGTTCGTGTGCATAGTTTTTTCTAATAGTGTCTGAGGGTTTTTCATATTTCTGTGGGATCAGTTCTAAAGTCCTTTTTGTCATTTATTATTGCATGTATGTCTTCTCTTTTTTTTTATTAGTCTAACTAGAAGTCTACCCATCGTATTTACTCTTTCAAACAACCAATTAATAAGTGTGTTAATCTTTTGTATGGTTTTTCACCTCCCAATTTTATTCTGTCCAACTCTGTTTTGCATTATTTTTTGTTTTCCGCTTGCTTTGGGGTTGGTTTACTCTTATTTCTCTAGTTCCTCTAGTTGTGAAAATGGGTTCTTAGTTTGAGATGTTTAACTTTTTGATGTGAGTGTTTTACACTGTAAACTTTCTTCTTATCAATGTTTTCGCTGTGTCCCAGAGATTCTCGTATGTTATATCCTTGTTCTCCTTAGCTTCAAAGGATTTTTTGATTTCTTTCTCTATTTCATTTTTTACCCAATTTATTCAGTAAGAAGGTTGTTTAATTTCCATGTAATTGTGTGGTTTTAAGTGATTTTTTTGGTATTAATTTCTACTTGTATTACACTGTGGTCTATGAGTGTGGTTGATATAATTTCAGTTTTTGTGAATTTGCTGAGGATTATTTTATGGCCAATTGTGTGGTTGATTTTAGAGTATGTGCCATGTGCAGATAAGAAGAATGACTATTCTCTTGTTTTGGGGTGAAGAGTTCTGTAGATGTCTGTTAGATCCATTTGGTCAAGTGTCAAAGTTCCAGTCCCAAATATTTTTGTTAGTTTTGTGCCTTAATGATCTAATACCATGAGTGGGATGTTGAAGTTTCCCATCGTTATTGTGTGGCTAGCCGCATTTCTTCAATGATCTCTAAGAACTTGGTTTTATGAATATAGGTGCTCTTTTTCTGTGTGAATACATACTTAGGATATTTAGGTTTTCTTGTTGAATTGACCTCTTTACTATTGTGTAATGCCCTTCTTTGTCTTTTTTTTTCATCTTTATTGTTTTAAAGTCTGTTTTTTTTTTCTCCTGAAATTCCAATAGCAATATGTGCTCTTTTTTGTTTTTCACTTTCTTGGTAGATTTTTCTCCATCACTTTATTTGAGTCTATGTGTGTCATTGACTGTGAGATGGATATCTTGAAGACAGCATAGACTTGGGTCCTGTTTCTTTATCCAACTTGCACTCTGTGCCTTTTAAGTGTGTGTTTCACCCATTTACATACAAGGCTGATGTTGATATATGTGGATTTTATTCTGTCATAGTGTTGTTAGCTGTTTATTACACATACGTGATTATGTGCTTGCTTTATGATATCAATGGTCCATGTACTTATGTGTGTTTTTTTGTGGCAGCTGCTAATGGTCTTTCTTTTCCATATTTATCATGCCCTTTAGGACCTCTTGTAAGGCAAGTCTTGTAGGTGTAGTAGATCCTTTTATTCCCTTAGCATTTACTTGTCTGAAAAGGATCTTATATCTCTTTGGCTTATGGGACTTAATTTGGTTGAATATGAGATTCTTGGTTGAAGAGTACTGAATATAGGCTCCCAGTCTCTTCTGGCTTGTACGGTTTCTGCTGAATGATCTGCTGTTTGTTAGCCTGATGGATGGGGTGCTCTTTATAGGTGACCTGCCCCTTCTCTGTCTTTTTCTGTCATTTTGATATTGGAGAATCTGATGACTATTTATCTTAGGAATGGTCATCTTGTACAGCATCTCAAAGAGGTTCCCTTCATTCCCTGAATTTGAATGTTGGCCTCTGTAGCAAGGTAGGGGAAATTTTCATGAATAATTTCCTTAAATATGTTCTTAACATTGCTTGGTTTCTCTCCCTCTCTTTTGGAATGCCAGTGAGTCATAGATTTGATTTCTTTACATAATTCCATATCTTTTGGAGGTTTTGTTCGTTCTTTTTTTTTTTTTTTAATTTTGTTTGATGGAGTTATTTTGAAGAACCAGGCTTTGAGCTCTGAGTTTCTTTCCAGAGTTTGGTTGATTACTCTGTTAATACTTGCCTTTTTATTCTGAAATTCTTGAAGTGATTTTTTTCCTCCATCAGATCAGTTTGGTTCTTTCTCAAAATGACAACTTCATCTTTCAGCTCTTGTATCATTTTAATGTATTCTTTAGATTCCTTGGATTGCGTTTCAACTTTCTTCTGAATCTTGACGATCTTTGTTTCTATCCATATTCTGAATTCTATTTTTGTCATTTCAGCCATTTTAGGCTGGTTGATAACCACATAGTCCTTTAGAGGTAAGAAGACAGTCTTTCTTTTTGAGCTGCCAGAGTTCTTGTGTTATTTTTTTTCCTCATCTATGTGCTGATGTTCCTTCAGCCTTTGAAGTTGCTGTCCTTTGGATAGGATTTTTGCTTTGATCTCCTTTGATGCCCTTGTGGGTTTGATTGTGGTATAAGGTGGGTTCAGTTTACTGGCCTTGTTTCTGAAAGATTTCAGGAGTCTGACGCTCAGCTCAGCACTCCTGGTCTATGTGGTTTAACTCTGCGGGGGCTGGTACTCTGCCTTTCAGCTTTGTTCTGTGGCAACTTGAGGTTAGAAACATGCTGTGCCAGAGGGGCTGAGGTGTTCCCAGTCTCCTGGCCACAACACTCCAGTGGGTGGTGCTGGCCAAAATGCTTTACAGGGGTGGTGGCAGTGGGATCCATGCTTGCTCATGCATGCCAGGAGTCATGGTAGCATGGCAGAGTGCATGTGCATCAGCTGGGGTAGGGTACTGAAAGGAGTGGGCTTTGGCATTCCTGTGTGTGCTCGTGCTAGCAGCAGCAATGATAGAATCCTGGTGGGGGCAGGGCTGCCACTGTCCCTGTGCACATTTACACTGGCAGTGGCAGGTGCACGAGGGGCAGGGAATAGGGGTGAGGTTGCTGGAATCTGAGTGAGTGTTCACATCGGTAATGATGGCACAGCGGGGTGCCTGCACATCATCAGGGGATGGATGGGGCAGTAGTTGTCCTTCCACCTGCAGCAGTGTTTGGTGGGGTCTGTGCATATGTGCAGGCTGGCAGGGTGTGGGGAGTAAGCCCCCGTGTGTGCCAGCAAAGCAGTGTGGAAATGGCTGTGGGCAAGTGTGTACTGGCAAAGTGGTGGGGGAAGGCTGCAGAGGGAGAAGGGTAGCATGCAGGGAGGTTGCAGGGAGGTTGGCACATGTTGGCGGTTGCTGGTCTACTGGAGCTCTCTGATAGTCAGGTGTGGTCTTCTGATAAAACAACTATAATGAGGGCACTGACAGGCACCCTTGTTGGGCATCGAAAACTGTGCTGCAAGTGGGCACAGCCAGGCTGGGGCCCCAGGAGAGGCAAGTGGACAGGAGAACACTCAGATCAGACTGGCCCTATCTCACAGGCAAGACTTGCTCTGCCTAGGTCCAACGGTCACCTTATGGCTAAAGTCTCCTAAAGGATCATGGCAAGCCTTAGGGGGTGGGCATCCTTGGCTGGACTGCACTCCTGACATTCCCTCATCAAGCTCTCTGGACTACATACAGGCTGGACTCCCACCCCTATAACCTCTTTAAGCAGCTCTCCCTGCCAGCTCGTGTGTCTGTGAGGGTCATCAGGTCTCCTGCAGCTAAGATCCTGGAGGTCCATGGTAAGAATGTGCCATTCCTTGCCTTTTCAGCTTACTCCTTCACTAGGAGTTGCTGGAGGCCTGGAAGCAGTCCTGGTGCTCGCTAGCCCCATCCGGGGTTTCCAGCTTTCTCCCTTTTCAGCTCAGCATCCGTGTCCCCACTCCATCCACTCTCAATGCCTTCCCTTAAAAAATCTGCTCAGAGTGTGCCAAACTTCCCAGTGTTTCTCTAACGGCCATCTTGGCTCCCTCCCCTCCTCCTTTAAATCTGGACTGACCTGTGACTGCTTAACCAATAAAATGCAGTGGAAGTAATGTTGTGCAACTTCTAGGCAACTCTTGAAAAGGATTGGCAAAATTGGCTTCGTCTCTGTTGGAAAGCTGCTTCTTGTGATACTTGCTCTCAGAACCCAGGTGCTATTCCATGAGAAGCACAAGGCACAGGCAGAGGCCATGAAGACAGCCAAGCTAAGATCATGGTCTAGTCATAGCTACGTGCTCAGTGATTGCCAGCACAAATTGACAGTCATGTGAATGAGTCATTTTGGTTGTCCAGCTCGTCAAGGACTCAGATGACTCCAGCCTTCTCTGGCATGTAATTCCAACTACATGAGGGGCCCTAAGCAAATACTTATTAGTTGATCCTATCCAACTCCAAAGATGTAAAACATAATAGGAAGAGTTAATTTGTAAATTTGGGGAATGATTTAATCTGCAGCAAAACATAACTAGGATGGGCATCTTTAGAGCTACTTACTTTCATGGGTGTCTTCTCAGGGCTCCAATATTTAATTTTATATTCATAATTTTATATTGTTTCCATGAGGAAGTCCCCTCCAGTTGTATAAGCTTCAGGTACCCAGGATTTGCCCACGCTCTACTTCCTCTAATCTCTTTTCTCTCCTACTTTCTAGTTTGCTTTTCCCATTCTCTCTTTACCCAACCCTCTACCCACCTTTTGAGTAGAACTTGCTAATTTAGAAAATGCCAGCACTGTGCAGTTTTAAAATATGCATGCCAATAAAGTTATATACTTTAACCTTGTGATCTCTTTGTTGCTTACTTACTATGAGTTCCAGTTCACCATCGTTAGAGACAACAACATGTCCCCATATGGTTGTGGAGCAGATTATAAAAGAAATACCATGTATATTACTTAACACATGGTCTTGTTTGTAGTTTACAGTATATACCCAGTAAACATTTACTTCTATTTTCTCAGCTCTGGCTTCAATATTGCCTCTATTGATGTCTGCCTTGCAGAGTGGCATTGATGGCTGAAATTTACCCCGTTCTCTGCCCTAGCTTACCTCAGCCACATTGGCCCCAGTTAATGAAAAAAAAAAAAAAAAATCTTCACTTGATTATAGTTCCTGGAGCTCATTAAGCTTAAGCCTTCCAAGCACCAGAATTTGATTACTGCATTAAAAATGAATTCTCTGGTGGTTGTTTTTAGATGTTGCTTCTAAACAATGGCATGTTTAATTAACACAATTTATATCAAGTCACACAGAGATACACATTCTCACACTGTAGCATATTTACCCAAAATAGACAACCTAATTACTTAAAAAAATTGGCTGTATTTGCAGAACTAGAGCATTATACGAAAAATGAACTGCAATTATGAAACAGAGAAGGATGGGAAAATGCCATATTCTTGCTATTTTTATTTTGTTTTAAAAAATGTTAATTAAGTTACAGAGTTCACAAGTACTGTAGAGTTTAGCACAAGTGAATGAATAAGTATCTTCAACATGGATAAAGGGAGAGATTCATCTTTTCTGGCTTACTTATCTTGAATTCATAAATCCTAAGAAATTGCTGCTGAGTCAGAACACAGTAACAAAGGCAGCACTTTGTCTCATTCACACAGAGAAGCTGGGTGCTCAATAAAGACAGTAAAGTTGTTGGGAAGTCGTTTAATAAAACTTGGAAGATACATGATTAATTTAATTATTATCAACACAGATTTCTTAGAATTAAATAAGAGAATGGTGTTAAAGTTAACTTTTCTCTCTGGTGGTCTTTGTGTTTCTCCTTTTCTAAAGCAAGGTCCTTAGGGAAAAAAGAAGTAAAGGGAAGGAAGAAAAGGCTTTATAAACGTAAAGATAACCGTATTTTCCCACAGAGGTCATCCAGTGAAATGATAATTTTAAAATTCTTTTTTTTTTCTTTTACTTGAGGCTTTTGTGCCTGATAGAGATCTTTTATTAATTTTAACTAAGTAGTGACCACAGGGCAAGTAAGAACAATATAAGAAGCAAAGATAAAAATCTTTTATATTCCCACAAATATTTATCATTTTCTTTTGCAGTGCACTATACTTGTTATTAAGAAAGTTATAATGAAGAAATGAGAATTAGTTTCTTTTTTTATAGACTTTTTCTGGGGACTAGGACACAGATATATTAACAAATGATATGAATATAGAGTAAATATCACATCAAAATAGACATATGTTCAGAATGCCATAAGAACATAGGAGAAAAACATAAAATCTAATCTGGCAAGGAGGCCATGATGAGTGAATCGACATTTGACTGAATCTGGCCGTTTCTATATATGGTGCCCAGCCCCATTATTGAAAAATAATGAGTACTCAGTAAGTTTAGATTAAATCAATAAATGCAATGATAAGAAGTTTTTAAAGAGGAGAATACCATGGAAGGATGATACAATAACACAAAAGTTTACGTTGTCAGTTCAGACGCATATAAATCAGAGATCACATTCGGTATCAAGTTTTAGTAATAACTTCAAGGACAAAGCTAAGCACACGATATTATGGAGCAGCCACGTTTCTTCCCAAGTATTTCTTCACCATATTAGAATGTGCCCTCAACTAAATTCAACATGCAAGTGGAAAATCACCATGCAATTTAGGTTACAAAAATCCCTAGTTTATAATCTAATAATTGCATAGCTTAAATGATACTTTTTGACTTATAAAACTGTACATTTCAGTTTAATTTATTTGACTTAAGCAATCAGAATGGTCCTGGTACATCATGTAAAAGCATTTCGTAGATAAGCTTATTCATGCTAGTGAAGGCTGACACAGGATATGGAGGCTTCCTTTGTATAGAGGTCTGTTACTAGCATGTTAACGAGGGAATTTGGCAAAGTTATCTTACTTTCCTAGTTAGATTAGGGATGAAATGAACTGCAGGTTGCTATTAACACTCTCTTTTTTAAATGGGAAAATCAAAGAGATAGATTAAGATGGTTTATTAAGGACTTTATTACTTGGTTGCCGTATTTTATTTTAGGAATTGGCTTTTAAATGAGAGCCACATGAATGCAAATCCTGAATTCCCCAAACTTGGATAAGTTATTTAAACTTTCTCAGTAACCATTTTCCAATTTCTAAATTGTGAGAAACAAAAAAACATCAAACTCACAGCATTGCGATGATGAATAAATAAGGTAGCAAAAACTGAGCATGATGCCAAGCATATATTAGATGCTCAATAAATACATTTCTCATTTCACATTTACCCCCAGATTTCTAGTTATCTTATCCAGATATGCTGGATGAACCATGAGGCTGCTCATTCAATAAATCCACTGTTTCATAGTGTGGTCCTTTCACGGTATGTTTTCTTTCCCATACCTCAGTATTCCACATATCACCCAACTCAGTCATATTTATATTTGATAGTTTTGATTCTCAAACCAGATTAAAAGCTTTATGAATACTAAGCCATGTCCAAGGTATCTTTTATTTCTTCAAATTTCTGTGCATAATACCATAAGCACAAATATTGCCAATTCCACACTGGCTGATTAATTGTTGATGGGGTAAGTTATAACTCAATAATTAAAGTTAATATATAGTTCAACCCAGCTATGGTAAAATGGACATTTATTAATGCTAAAGAAAATTAGTCTTTATTTTCTCTATACCATACATCGTAACCTTTTATATTACATAATTTGAAACTTACTGAGAAGTTGAAAAGATAGTACAAAAACCTTTGAACATTTTGAGGGTAGAGGTACCATCTCTTAAGAACAAGGGGCTTCTCTAACAAAACTACAAGAGCATAATCAAAACCAGGAATTTATCATTGATACAATACTGTTATATAATTCTGGTCCATACTCAATATTTTTAAAATGTCTCAATATTTTCAGTACTATCTCCCACCACCTACCACTGTCATCTTGGCCATAGCTCAATCTGAGGATTTTCTGAAATTAGCATCAAAAGCCACTTTAGTTGAGTGGAGCATACCCTCAGCCCTTCTCTGGCTTGTGTAGCTTTGGCAATTTTGAAAAACATAAGCCAAATATTTTATAGAATATCCATTAATCTAGGTGTGTCTGATGTTTCCTAATGATTATATTTAGGTTAGAGAGTTTTGGAAGAAATACCATAGAGACATTACATGTTCCTTAGTGGATCATCAGTAGAAATAGAATGTCAGTCTGTATTTGTCCATTTTCATGCTGCTAATAAAGGCATACCTAAGACTGGGCAATTAACAGAGAGAGGTTTAATGAACTTACAGTTCCACATGGCTGGGGAGACCTCACATTCATGGTGAAAGGCAAGGAGGAGCAAGTTACATCTTACGTGGATGACAGCAGGCAAAGAGAAAGAGCTTATGCAGGAAAACTCCCCCTTATAAAACCGTCAGATTTGGAGAGACGTATTCACTATCATGAGAACAGCATGGGAAAGACCTGCCCCCATGATTCAATTACCTCCCACTGGGTCCCTTCCACAATACATGGGAATTCAAAATGAGATTTGGATGGGGACACAGCCAAAACATATCATTCCACTCCTGGACCCTCACAAGTCTCATGTCCTCACATTTTAAAACCAATCATTTGTTCCCAACAGGCCCCCAAAGTCTAAACTCATTTCAGCGTTAACTCAAAGGTCCACAGTCTGGTCTCATCTGAGACAAGGCAAGTCCCTCCTGCATATGAGCCCATAAAATCAAAAGCAAGTTAGTTACTTCCTAGATACAATGGAGGTACAGGCATTGGGTAAATACAGCCCTTCCAAATGGGAGAAATTGACCAAAACAAAGGGGCTATAGGACCCATGCAAGTCCAAGATCCAGCAGGGCAGTCAAATCTTAAAGCTCCAAAATGATCTCCTTTGATTCCATGTCTCACATCCTGGTCACAGTGATGCAAGAAGTAGGTTGCCATAGTCTTGAGCAGCACCACCCCTGTGGCTTTGCAGGTTACAGCCTCCCTCCTGCTGCTTTCATGCGCTGGCATTGAGTTTCTGCAGCTTTTCCAGGTGCACGGCGCATGTTGTCAGTGGACCTATCATTCTAGGGTCTTGGGGACAGTGGCCCTCTTCTCACAGCTCCACTAGGCAGCACCCAAGTGGGTACTCTGTGTTGGGGTTTCAACCCCACATTTCCCTTCCACACTGCCCTAGCAGAGGTTCTCCATGAGAGCCCTGTTTCTGCAGCAAACTTCTGCCTGGACATCCAGGTGTTTCCATTCATATTTTGAAATCTAGAAAGAGGTTCCCAAACCCCAATTCTTGACTTCTGTGTACTCATACACTTGACAACATGTGGAAGCTGCCAAGGCTTGGGGTTTACACCCTCTGAAGCCATGGGCTGAGCTCTACATTGTCCCCATTCAACCATGGCTGGAGTGACTGGGATGCAGGGCACCAAGTCCCTAGGCTGCAGGCAGCAGAGGGACCCTGAGCCGAGCTCATGAAACCACTTTTTCCTACTAGGCCTTTGGGCCTGTGATGGGAGGGGCTGCCATGAAGTCCTTTGATATGCCCTGGAGACATTTTCTTCACTGTCTTGGGGATTAACATTGGGTTCCTCATTTCATATGCAAATTTATGCAGCCAGCTTGATTTTCTCCTCAGAGAATGGGATTTTCTTTTGTATCACATTGTCAAGCTGCAAATTTTCTGATCTTCTATGCTCTGCTTCCCTTATATAACTGAATATATAACCCTATAACCTTTATATAACCTTTAACAGCACTCAAGTCACTTCCTCAATGTTTTACTCCTTAGAAGTTTTTTCTGCCAGTTACACTAAATCATCTCTCTCAAGTTCAAAGTTCCACAAATCTCTAGGGCAGGGGCAAAATGCTGCCAGTCTCTTTGCTAAAACATAACAAGGGTCATATTTGCTCCCATTCCCAACAAGTTCCTCATGTCCATCTGAGACCACCTCAGCCTGGATTTCATTCTCTAGATCATTATCAGCATTTTTGTCAAAGCCATCCCACAAGTCTCTAGAGACTGCTAAACTTTCCCACATTTTCCTGTCTTCTTCTGAGCCCTCCAAACTGTTCCAACCTCTGCCTGTTACCCAGTTCCAAAGTCAGTTCCACATTTTCTGGTATCTTTTCAGCAACACCCCACTCTAATGGTACCAATTTACTGTGTTAGCTTGTTTTTACACTGCTAATAAATACATACCCGATACTGGGCAATTTATAAAAGGAAAAGGTTTAATGGACTTACAGTTCCACATGGCTGGGGAGGCCTCACATTCATGGTGAAAGGCAAGGAGGAGCAAGTCACATCTTACATGGATGTCAGCAGGAAAAGAGAGAGAGCTTGTGCAGGGAAATTCCCCATTATAAAACCATCAGATCTCATGAGACTTATTCACTATCATGAGAACAGGATGGGAAAGACCTGCCTCCATGATTCAATTACCTCCTGCTGGGTCCCTCCTACAACACGTGGGAATTCAAGATGAGATTTGGGTAGGGACACAGCCAAACCATATCACAGTCTTTGTCCAATATTGATGTTATTGATATTGATAACTTAGTTAACATAGTGTCTACCAGAATTTCCAACATAAAGTTACTATACTACTTTTTAAAATGAACACATAATGTTGTGAAAACATTCCTGTTCTTCATCTATGTAAAGTTTCTATTATTCATCAAACCCTCATTAGGTTTAGTGTTCATTAATGACTTTATAATTCTATAATTCCTTCTGTATTTAATGACATACTGTAAAGATGAACTTTTCTTTATCATTTTTCCTTTTATCAGCATAGACATGCATTTTTTCTTAAATTTAGTGGATGATAATACTTCACTATCACTGTTAATTATTATTAATTTTTATTTTTCAGTGGAAATCTATTCATTTTGATTATTGTCTTCCTTTGATAAGTCTCTTTTATTCTCTGAGAACTTCTTTGCTGTCTTGCATATCAAGCTCTTCCAGGGCCATGTTACGTTTTCCCTTTTTTAGCCCTGGAATTAACTATTTCTGCAAAATGGGTGCTAGGTATAATCCATTCCTGCTGGTGTGTCATTTTTTTATACCCTGTCAGTACTCAAAGCTAAGAACCTAAATTATCTAATTCCTTTATACTTAAGTACTTATTTACCCAAACTTAGAATATGCAAAGAAATGGTTTCAGAATTACTAACCCATAGTACTATGAAAAGCACACCAATTAACTGAAATTCAATATGTGCTTCATATTTTTGTTTTTCACATGGAGGGAGGTGTAAAATATGCACAGAGCAAACTACACAAAACTTAAGTAAACTTCATCTACAACAATCTCCCTCATTCTGGGGACTGGGTGTGCCATTGATACATGAAAATAATGATCAAATTCAGGACAGAGTTTTTATCTGGATAGAAAGAAAAAAATATGTATATATACATATATATGATAGGAGAGAAATACACAGGACTACTTTAAACTATACTGGGAATGTTATATTTTTAACCAAGTTGGTAATTTAAGTGTTTGGTTTATCTTTTTAGGCATTTTTAAATATCTTTTGTATATTATAAATTTTACATACTGATTATTTTCAGAGAAAACAACAGAAGTGGTAAATAAAATGTGGTTTTTGAAAATCTTTTTCCATGGTAAGGAAATATGAACATTTTCAGACAGCTCAGCAGATCCTGAAGGGGAAGTGATGGTGTCCTTAGTTAATTCAGGATACATAAAATTATATTTGTATGATACTAAATTAATAACTTGATAAAATATGTTTTAGATTCTATTCTCTATGTCACAATCTCTCCACCTCTAAACATACAGACATTTCAGAAAAATGTCTGTATGGGAAAATGTCTATTTAGGAAAACTGAAGGGAAAGAAAACACAAAACCAATCACGTAAAGACAACTGATCAATCAGTGTCTAGAAAGAAATCAAAGTAAGCTAAATCAGGAAAAAAACATTAATCAGCTTTGGTTGGGCATTTCTTTTAATTGCTCATAATACATGTCCTTTAACATCAGTTAACTTCTTAAGATCAACTGCAAAATGGCTGAGCAGGTATTTGCAAATTATTTCTCATTCTAACATTGATTTTCATTTCTAACAAAATTTTCCTGATCAAGGTAAAGTCAGATTCTGTTTTCTAGATAGTTACAGTAAGAAAAACATCACATACCTATAACTCCCAGATTCGAACCTACTTTCAACTCTCCTATGGCAGTTACCATCATCTGATCAAAGCATTGAACTTGGCTTTGCCACTTACTCTGAGAAAGGGATTTAACATTCTGGGCCCAAGGTGACTTCTCTCAAAAATGAGGAAGCTAAAGAGGAAAGTGCAGGTGCAAATTACTGTCCTACTACCCATCAATTGTGTGATACTAAGCAAATCACTTAGCTTCTCTTTATTAATTTCCTTACTTCTAAGTCAGAATTACTAATTTCTCACTGTCAAGGTCATTTTCAGGATTATATGGCAATGTTTGTGTCAATATATATAATGGCTGTCATATGACAGATGACCACTTCTTCAAAGCATATTATTTCTCTGCATCTGCACAATAGGCTTGTCCTACTTTTGAAGATATTTCTATCTTTTGAAGGCAGAATTATCCATCAATTATGAATCCATCACTTTTGTATGAGAAAGCTTTCTGAAACTGAATGTTTGAGGTTGCATCTTGTCTAACAATGGACAAGCTTTTGTAACACATGTGGAAACAACAAAACAAGAGAAGCCAATTAGAGGAATGGTCATCCTTTCATGTTTTTTTGTTTCTTTAGCATTGGCTTCAAAACTAGTAGAAGTTAAAGGAATAAAAATAAACCAGGACTTTAGCAATCTATCAAAAAGTATTACCCAATCTAACTTTAATGAATTCCAATGAATTATTGGAATAATTTCATATTTGTATACCAGAGATAAGAAACCTCAACAATTCTAGTTAGATATGAGTATGTATTTCTTACCTTTCAGAGAGTGGAATTTAAGATCCCACACAGCTGTTTCAGTATGTCAAGGTAAGCTGATTCAATCTTCTACTATTCAGCTTTTGCTTAATCAAGCACAGTGAGCTAAAACAGAGTGGCTTTGATAGACATCATTCTTTAAAAGGAGGTGAATTTTTTTTCAGTTTATGGTGCATAAGGATTTATACTCCCATTTATGCAGTTGTTTCTGCCCTGTTAAAAAAATAAATACTCTCTTACTTGTGCTTCCCATTATCATTTATTGTGCCCTTGGCAGAAATGCCTGCCTCCCTCTTCAGCCAGATGAATCCTACTCACTTGTCAAGATGCTCCTCCTGAAATCCTCCCTAGACTTTCTCTAAAATAATTGGGCCATTGCTTCCTTTTTCCACTGTCGTGTTTACTTTATGCCTCTATCTTAGATTTTAATAGTTATTATACCCCATACAGTATTACAAACATTTTTGAACATATGTTTTTCATATAGGTATATATGTTCTTCACATATATATATATATAATGCTGGATTAAATATCTTTTAAAAATAGGATAAATTAGACAACTAACAAGTATAAAGAGGGTAGGTGAAGGCATGACTGAAGCTTGTAATAAAATGGAAACTATGGAGTTGCACATATTTGCTAGATTTGAAATGTATAAATTTGACTTCGACCTTCATAGTAATGAAAGCCAGGTGGGAAAGGTAGTCAGTTACATTAGGTTCTGAATAAATATGATGAAAACAAACCAAATTTTTGAAAAGCATAAAATTTCCTGATCCAAATAATTTGTCAGACGGTCCTCAAGGAGAGGATATTATGCAATGTCATGATCTTTCTCAACAGCATCATTTTAGGGCCCATAGCAATGATATACGTGGCATCATTTCTTGAAATAGCCCTCAGTGCAGTTAAGGACATCTCAGCAAAATGTAATTCAGTGAAAGAAGTTCTACTGGATATCTATCTGCTATTGTTTAGCTATTGTTTAGCTATTATCCTCATCTTAGCTTGTGTTAAGGGATCAATTTTAGATTGTTGGGAGAAAATATGTATGATAGATTTTAGAAAATCCTTCATAAATTTCCTTTCTCATAGCTGAACTTTTATACAGTAGACTGGTGGAATGTTCAAGACAAAGTAAAGCTACAACCTTTCAATTCAGAGCTGTATTTATCAATTGATCCTGCTGAGAATAAGTGTGATATTCTTTTATATCATTAGAAAGTGAGTATATGGTAGGATCTATAAAATAATCATGCCTAGACAAGGTACATAGTTCTCATGACAACCACTACAATAGCAAAAAACAGTAACAATGTTATGAGGTTATAAATAAGGAGTGGAATAGAAGGTAAGGAGCCAACACAGAATAAATATTTTTGTTGTTATTTATTACTAAATTTATTTATAAATTTAATTTTAAAATTAAAATATTTATCAAAATATGGTTATTTCCAGGATGCAGCTTTAGGTTTGCCCTAATGAACAGACAAATGAGTTTCTGGGAATAAGCCTTAAAACATGGCCACTTGTATCTGATTGTAATTAATTACTAGACCACTTACCCATTAAGATCACTGATTATTCATTATAATTAAGTTGAATTATCTGTTTGTAGGGACAGACATTTCTTTCCCTTGTTTATATTGAGAATATATATGTATATACACACACACACACATATATATATATATATTGCATTCAGTTTTTACAAACATGGTATAGATAATTAACAAACATTAAAATTGAATAGGGGGAGCTTTGACATGTAAAGAGCTTTGAAGCTGTCATTCCCATTCTTACTGAACAGAAATCACACAATAAATCACTACTGGGAAATCTAGAGATATAGGCTATTTCAGACTAATAGTTGAGATCTGCTTACCTGAAGCCATAAACTAGTAAGAACATATAAATGGTAACTGGAATGAATTACTGGAGGCTGTTTTGAGTGTAGACAAGCATAAGAGTGAGAAACTCCTGGGAGCCTCAGTCATGGAGGTGGGGGCAGGTCCCAAATTCATGAATTTTTGCCATTGGGAACTTCATCAGATACCAATGATAGAGTCAAGAAAGGTCTCCTTATGGACTGGCATAGGAAATAGAAAGGTAACCATATAAAATATGCCCAGAGCATTGTCCGTAACAAAGGCCTATTCTCCATTAAAATATTGAATTCATGTATTAGAAAAAAGGAAAGATCTAAAATCAATAATCCAAGTTTCTACCTTAGGAAACTAGGGAGAGAGAACAATTTAAGCCTAAAGCAAGCAGAATAAAGTATATAATTATAATTACAGCAGAAAGCAATGAAATTGAAAAACAGGAAAACAATAGAGACAATCAGCCTGAAGTTTTCTTTTCTTTTTTTTTTTTTTAATATCTATGCCAAGTTTTGGAATCAGGATGATGCTGGCCTCATAAAATGAGTTAGGGAGGAGTTTCTTCTTTTCAATTGTTTGGAATAGTTTCAGTAAAAATGGTACCAGCTCTTCTTTGTACCTCTGGTAGAATTCAGCAGTAAATTCATCTGGTCCTGGGCTTTTTTTGATTGGTAGGCTATTTATTACTGCCTCAATTTCAGAACTTGTTATTGGTCTATTCAGGGATTCTGTTTCTTCCTGATTCAGTCGTGGGAGGGTGTATGTGTTCGGGAATTTATCTATTTCTTCTAGATTTTCTATTGTAGTTTATGTGCATAGAGGTGTTTATAGTATTCTCTCCTGGTTGTTTGTATCTCTGTGGGGTCAGTGGTGATAGCTCCCTTATCATTGTTGATTGTGTCTGTTTGATTCTTCTCTCTTTTGATCTTTGTCTAGCTGGTAGTAATCTATTTTATTTGTTTTTATTTTTCTCTCAAAAACACAGTTCCTGGATTTGTTGGTTTTCTAAAGGGCTTTTTGTGTCTCCCTTTCCTTTAGTTCTGCTTTGATCTTGGTTATTTCTTGTCTTGTGCAAGCTTTGGGATTTGTTTACTCTTGGTTCTCTAGTTCTTATGGTTTTGATGTTAGGTTGTTGATTTGAGATCTTTCCAGTTTTTTGATGAGGGCATAAATTTCCCTCTTAACATTGCCTTAGCTGCATCCCAGAGATTCAGGTATGTTGTCTCTTTGTTCTCTTTAATTTCAAATAACTTCTTGATTTGTGCCTTAATTTCATTATTTACCCACAAGTCATTCAGGGGCAGGTTGTTTAATTTCCTTGTAGTTGTGTGGTTTTGAGTGAGTTTCTTAACATTGAATTCTAATTTAATTATGCTCTGGTCTGAGAGACTGTTATGATTTCAGCTGTTTTGCATTTGCTGAGAGTGTTTTACTTCAGATTATGTGATCAATTTTTGAGTAAGTACTGTGTGTCGATGAGAATGTATATTCTGTTGTTTTTGGGTGGAGAGTTCTCTATATATCTATCAAGTCCACTTGATCCCTAGCTGAGTTCAGGTCCTGAATATCTTTGTTAATTTTCTGTCTTAATGTTCTGTCTAACATTGTTAGTGGGGTGTTCAAGTCTCCGTCTCCCACTATTATTGTGTAAGAGTCTAAGTCTCTTTGGAGTTCTCTATGAATCTGGGTGCTCCTGTATTGGGTGCATATATACTTAGGATAGTTAGCGCTTCTTGTTGAATTGAACCCTTTATCATTATGTAATGCCCTTCTTTGTATTTTTGATCTTTGTTGGTTTAAAGTCTATTTCGTCAGAAACTAGGTTTGCAACCCCAGCTTTTTTTGTCTTTTCGATTTACTTGGTAAATCTTCCTCCATCCCTTTATTTTGAGCCTGTGTTTCTCTTTGCACATGAGATGGGGCTCTTGAAGACAGCATACCAATGGAGTTTCTATCCAGCTTGCCATGTTGTCTGTGTCTTTTAATTGGGGCATTTAGCCCATTTACATTAAAGGTTAGTATTGTTATGCATGAATTTGATCCTGTCATCATGATGTAGCTAGCTATTTTGCAGAGTTGTTTATGTGGTTGCTTCATGATGTCACTGGTCATGTACTTCAGTGTGTTTTTGTAGTGGCTGGTAATGGTTTTTCCTTTCCATATTTAGTGCTTCCTTCAGGAGTTCTTGCAAGGCAGGCCTGGTGGTGACTTATTCCCTCAGCAGTTGCTTGTCTGAAAAGGATCTTATTTCTTCTTTGCTTATGAAGCTTAGTTTGGCCAGATACAAAATTCTGGGTTGGAAATTCTTTAAGAATGTTGAATATTGGCCCCCAATTGCTTCTGGCTTGTAGGGTTTCTGCTGAGAGGCCCACTGTTAGTCTGATGGGCTTGCCTTTTTAGGTAACCTAGCCTTTCTGTCTGGTCAAAAGATGGTTTATTGAAAGGATTAGTAAAATAAATCCCTAGCCCTGTTAACCCCAAATAAAAGAGGGAAGATATAATGATCAATTTCAAAAATAAATAAATAAATAACACATACAAAAGGACGAAAGAGAGCCCGTCACTACTGGCAATATTAAAATGCTAATAAAGGAATACTATAAACAATTCTAGGCCCACAAATTTGTATTTGATATCTTAGATGAAATAGAATGACTGCTTGAAAGATAAAAACTACCAAAACTAAATGTCAAAGACACGTAAGTACACACACACAGATACATATATACTTCCAATGCCTATCTCAGTGCTCATGTAATAATTGGGACTGGTTAAAAATTATTAAAAATGAATAATCCAATTCTAGTGGCTACGCTTAAAACCTTTGGACTTTTGCGTTGCATTTCAGAAGACTTAGCAGTCTGAACATCTAAAAAAAAAGAACATACTCTAACTCTTTCACTTGTTCTCCAGTCTCCACACATGTAGAAAAATGCTCCCACTATTTTTATATATGCAACCTCACTTATGATAACAAATTCTCTTCTAAAAGAAAGAATAGATAAAGTTAATGTCTTCTTTAGATTAAGAAAATGTATGTTACTTTTTACCCATTTTAAGGGAGTGATAAGTTAAGCCAGGAAGTATATTAAGATAAATGATTACTATTTGAGGTGACAGGGGGTAGTAGAGTGAGGTATGAATTATGAACACTATAATTCATTCACTAACTCATCACTTCCCAAAATCTACTAGCAAACAAAACAGAGAAGGAGGAATAATTTGTACTTTTCAAAGGTTACGGTCCATTTAGTTTAGTGATATTCATGGATTTTTTAACTTCTCTTTTTTTTCAGGAAAACATGTTAGTGGTGAAATAGTAAGCATGATGATATAAATTCAACACTAATTATGGGTTGCTATGTGTGTTAAATGAACTAAAATACAAAAACATTTTTGAGCAAACTCTAAGAATGGCACAGTAATCTCATGTCATTTTGCTATAAGTGCATAGCCTTTGAAATTAAGAGATTTTTCCCACATTTACTTCCGGTTGTGACGTGCCAGTGAAAACGCCATCTATAAAGGGCATATTGGGTGTGCTAATATATCATGGAATGGTTTCAGTATGCAGGCAGATCCCTAATTTAAAATGCTATGTTCCTATTAGTTCTGTTTTTCCACCAGGATATATTCTATTCACAGTAGACAAAAGTGTGTAACAAATCTTTAAGGTCTATACTTTTCTCATGAAAATATTCTGATCAACTTCATTCACTTATAATTATCATCAGTTTTGAAGTGAACATTTCATCTCCTTTCATTTTTCATTGCTATTCCTGCTGATGAAGATAAAGTGAATGCATGAAGAACTTACACTGAATTGTTGCCATTTGTGCACATCAGTAGTCCGATTTCAGTTAGAAGCTTTATTTATCTAAAATAATATTGAAAGAGACATATATTGGTAGAGTAGTAGAAATCAAAAAAAATTTTTTATGCAGTACATCTTAATGAAAGTTTTGATATAGACGACAGAATGCATGGTGGAGTATGAGAAGGGAGAAGTAGATAGTACAAGCTCAACATGAAATCTGTGAGTGTTAATAATTATTATTTTCCCAAAGTGCTTTTAGGTGAAAAATATCAACAGGACATAGAAACATCCTGCAAATGTTACATATATTATTACGTAAGTGAAGATATGAGGAATCTAAGATCTTTTTGAACATTAAGTTAATAAACACAATTTATACTCTGGGAGTTTCAGAAAGACCATCTGGGTGGATTCATTTAGTATTTCTTTATACTATGTGTACCTATAATTCAGCCTAGAGTTGCTTTATAATTAATATTTTTCATTAAAAATTTGTTAATATTAAACTCAAGGAGCTCCTGTATTCACTGCTTTTCTCTATTTAAAATAAGCTGACAGGCTTTTTTTTCCCCCAGAGCATTTAAGAAGTAGGATAATAGAGCTTATTAATCTAGCAGAATTGTTATGATTGTGACAAAAATAACTGGAGTCCTTCAGGTACTGAGAAATGAAAAATTGTAGAATTTAGGTATTGTAGAAAGAAGGAACTTAAACATCTAACTTCTGCTACCAGCATCACGTATGGCTGTATGTTCTGAAAGACACTGATCATGTGGAACAATTATGCCATGCATATGATAGTCTTTCTGTGAGGCCAGTTATTTTAAATGATATTGATAAATATTGCCAGGGCTGTCCTCCAAGGAATATGTTCAGCACACACACTAGGTCATCTGTAAAAAGGAGGTTAGACTGAAAATATTGCTATTGGCATTACTGATTCTTGAGCAACAATGAGGTAAGAAACTCCTACAGCAGAACTGAAATTGTTTAAGAGGGCTGATGCAGTCGCAGATCAGTGTCACTCCCTTTGTTACCTCTTAAAAATGGTAAAAGCGGCCAGATGTGGTGGCTCACGCCTGTAATCTCAGCACTTTGGGAGGCCAAGGCAGGCAGATCACGAGATCAGGAGATTGAGATCATCCTGCTAACATGGTGAAACCCCGTCTCTACTAAAAATACAAAAAACTAGCCGGGCGTGATGGCACACACCTGTAGTCCCAGCTACTCAGGAGGCTGAGGCAGGAGAATCACTTGAACCCGGGAGGCGGAGGTTGCAGTGAGTGAGATCACGCCACTACACTCCAGCCTGGGAAACAGAGGGAGACTCCGTCTCGGGAAAAAAAAAAAAAAAGAAAAAAAAGTAAAAGCAAGTCCTGTAAGCAGGAACACTATTGAAATTCCCCATTTAAGTCTTAGAAGTTCCACAGTTAAAAGCAAACAATGTTAAAAAATGAAGGCACAATCGAAGATGAGGAATATACAAAAATGCAAGCCACTTTGATGAATTTACATAAATGATAAAAAACTGATTTAGACTACCCAATGCTAAAAGTGTTAGAATTATTGCATAAATAATATTTTTAAAAACTGCTTGTGAAAGTGTTTAAGAACATAAGGGATCAAATCACAAAAATTGTCATTTTTAAGATATTTTTATAAATGAATACATCAGAAAGATAAGAGAAAATGAAACTAAAAGTAACTAAAATTACTAAAACTAATAAACTTATACATTTAAATAAACTTATCCAAAAATTTAAACAGTAGATTAAACACGGCTCCAGAGAAAGATAACACGCAGGAAAATAAATAAGAATAAAATATATAGAATGAAGTAGAAAGTAAAAGAGACTGAAAAGAGGAAGGGGATATTAAGAGATAAGAAAGATAGAATTAGAAAGTCTAATGTGTATCATTGGAGTACAAGAAGGAGTGAACTGAAAAGTGTGATTTTTTTTCATTCTCAAACATTAGAGAAAAGCATACATTCATATATTTTGCTCTTACTTTTTTTGCAGAGGCTCTAATTAAATGTATCTACAATGCTAAAGTATCCCTGGTCTCCACATACAAAATGTCAGGAGTTCTCTTAAGTCACTATAACATCCAAAAACTTTCGGATACATTTCCAAATGTGTTCTATACACAAGAGGAGAACACGAGAATTTGACATATCATGATCAGGAATCCATATTTCAGAAGTAGTTATGTGAGCACTTAACATAACTGAAACTTAATATTTGAATTAAGAAATTTAATTTAAATTATTGGCATTCATGATATTTAAGAAATATAGTTGTTAGAAATAGTGCATACTGCTTCAGCATAAATAGGGTATGAAATTCCATCAACTTCAGAAGATTCAATTCAGTGCTATAATTCTTTAGTTTTGTATCACCCCATTTCATGTGGCACTCTGTTGCCTAAGAATCCTAGAAGATTGGCTTATTATGCTGTAAAAATATTGTTGTACATACCATAGATGAATGTTTCTGTCAACAGGCCTATTGGAATGCCCGAGGACAGAGCATAGAGTGAGGCTTCCCTGAACTTTTAGAACAGATTCTGTAGTTATTTTTGTGCCTGCTTGTCAATAAATATTTGTAAATTTGGAAAAACCTAGTACAAAACTTTTAAAATTATAATATTTACTTGGTAGTAGGGCTGTGTGTGAGGAATTACAAAGGTTCTCTCTATAATGATCAGAGCCTACAGATATTTACTAAAATAATCCAATAATTGCCTAATGAACAAATTGGTTCAGGTCAGTTTACACACACACACACACACACACACACACACACACACGTAAATATATATATAATCATGCATATATAAAAGGTAGGGTATTAATACTGTGATCTCATGTTTTTACATATGGAAAAGCACTGGGATTGCCACAGAGAAGAATTGGTAGCAAATAGTCATTTTCCAAATAAAAAGTAATGAAATGCCAATGAATATGTCCTGTTACTCTGCATTAGAAAATGTAGGTTTTTATTTTCAAGTTAGAAGAATGACTTTTTAAACATCCATATAGTAGTGTTGCAACAAAATTGCTGCCGTTGACATGACTACTTGATAAAGTTCAATACTTAGTGACTAAACTTTTTGGAAAATCATTTTGCCTTATTATAATACACGTACAAAATGCTTGAAATGTAGTGCAAAAATCAGTCTTATGTTTTTATTTTATTAAAAAACATTTCTCAAACTCCAACAATATTATCCATTACTTGCATTTTTGATTACTTGCATTTTTCATTGAAATGCCATCAGATGTGTTTTATGTTTATCCTCTCAGGACAGAAATCAGTCATGACTAAAAACTATTAAATCAATATTATCCAGATACCTATCTATACACCCACCTATGTGCACAACCATATGCACATAGTTTCTAAATCCATACATGGAAACACTGTTGGAATAATTAGCTGCTTGAAAAGGTCATACTCTATTGGATATATAAATGGAGAATAAATAAATAGAATTGTATATTTAATAGCACATAGCATATTTTTTGTTTACAGAAATACAGTTTTTGCCTTTCTGTTGACTACTCAAGTATAGATCTACCATCTCTTCTTTTTTTTTTTGAGATGGAGTCTCACTCTGTCCCCTGGCTGGAGTGCAGTGGCATGACCTTAGCTCACTGCAACCTCTGCCTCCTGGGTTCAAGCAATTCTCCTGCTTCAGCCTCCCCAGTAGCTGGGACTACAGGCACGTGCCACCACGCCCAGCTAATTTTTTTGTATTTTTAGTAGAGACAGGGTTTCACCATGTTGGCCAGGATGGTCTCGATCTCCTGACCTGGTGATCTGCCCGCCTCGGCCTCCCAAAGTGTTGGGATTACAGACGTGAGCCATGCCATCTCTTCTTAAAACACTTGGAACAAGTTATAGTTCAGATTTCAAATTTTCTCAAAGGAAGATACACAATATATGATTAACAGTTCACAGGAGGGTCGGGGCCATTGATATTTCTTCAGCAGAACATGTGAAAACCCACACTGATTGATATACATAAAGATTCTAGGTTGCCTTAGATTGGGTCGTGCTAATCTGCCAAGTGGGTTATGCAAAAAAAAAAAAATCTCAGATATTGGAATTCAAAATTATAGACAAATAATTGTGAACATGTGTTCGTTTCTATAAGCTTTCTTTCACTTTACAGTGAAGCCTCGTTGTGAAGGTTCACATTTCACCCACATGTAGCTTCAAGGGAAGACTCTGATCCTGAAGAGTTTCTAATGTCACTTTATTTGCTATTTATTTTTATATATTTTCATCTTTGATGACAGTCAATACCACAGGAATACTTTGTAATTTCACTTTTGCCCCTTTGATACAGGAACTAATTCTCTTGCTGTGTGACGTCTTCAACCATGTCTTGTACTCTCAAGCCCATAAGCTTCTTTCCACAAATTTTTACCTCAAATAGAATACAATTGAATTTGTATTTTATAAATAATAGTGAATCTCAATACTCAATAATATTTCCAATGACTTTGAGTTCAAAGATAAGGTCATTGCTATCTAAAGTTAAAAACAGATTTTCTTAACTCTCTTTTTATTTTATAAGAAATACTAAAAAAAAAAAAAATCATAATACTTCCTAGAATGGAAATTGCAATACTTCTATAAGGCTACCTTGGGTAATTTTTTTTTTGTCTTTCTGTTATAGCCCATTTAAAATTTTTCACAATTTTTCTTTTCTTAACTTGGGATTGATTAGTTCAACCATTAGATTTAAATTAGCTATTGAGATTGTGTCTAGCCATTTGGTAGGCATGAAATAATTATTGCATATTCAATATCTCTGACTGTGGGGGCTCTAAGTTCTTCTTGCATGTAAATCCTTAATTATTGCAATACAAATGAGTGAATGTAGGTAATTTAATTATCATTTGTGGGTCTAGTATCTCTTTGACATTCTGGAACTGTCACCATCAAAATGAAGCGATGATTCTAGGTTGTCTTCATTTGAAATTATTACTCATTATCTGGTACTAATTGTTTAGTTCACAATGGCTGCTTCAGTGATATAAATTGCTACACACATTATAATTTGTATAGGAATTTCTATTACTAAGTCATATGCTATCTAGATAAGGCAAGGTTTTGTTTCACATAAATAAAAGTAATTATATAACAAAAAAGTTTCCTTGGCGACCTTAATCTCTATGATTTCTCCCAGGATGACGATTCTGACTTGTGTTGTGACCCTTTGTTATTTCTGGGAAATATTATTTCAGCCAATGTGTGACTGGCAGTGAACATTAAATCCTATTTGAACAAATGAGACATTGAATTTATTAAACCCTATTTCTTGCACTGCAGTATATTTGTAATCAATTAACCCGATTCTTCCAGTACCCAAATTACTTGAATGACATTGGAAAACCGATACTAAACCAAACAAGACAGAGCTCCAGATATGCAGAGTGAATTTAAAAAAGGAAAAATATAAGAGATATAAAAATCATATGAAGTTAAAAAATACTTATAACGTGATGGGATAAGTTGGATATTATAAATGAAATGGAGAATAAGACAAAACAGTGTGCAATCACTTTGTGTTTTCCAGAACATATGTGGGCAGACTTTAAAATATTATGAAAATATTAATGCAATTATGGGTATAAAAATCTAAATTCACATCACTGAAGTGAGAAATATGAAAGTTGATAAATAAAAATCAAAAGTATATTGGGTGGTGCATCAGTAGATGAGGTTAAAAGAACCCAGCTAAATTCAGTCAGTGAGCTGGGATATTGGTCAATGAATTCTACAATACATCACACAAGTGTGTGTCAGTATGTGTGTGTATGTGTATAAGACAGAGGAGGGACAGGGAAGGGGAGAGGAAGGCAAGGAGAGAAAATAAAATTTAATACACAAAAGAATACATCAAATTCCATCATCCATCAGTACTTGTTATATATAAAAGTGACAACAGAGTGGGGAGAGTAGGTAGGAAGATAGTTAAAACATATTTTTTAAAAGTTATTTTAAAAGTTCTGAAAAGGAAACACAAGTCCTTAGATTTTATTGTCTACCTAAAATAAGAAAGCAAATTTAAAATGACCAATACATTGTCATATCAGAAAGAAATTTCAGAACACCAAGGATAACTCCATTGGAAGTTCTATGGGATGGGATGGAAGTAGAGGCTGCTATGAAATGAATAACAGCAGAAAGACTTCTGAATTCTCATTAGTAATAGTAAGTGCAAGACTGAAGGATTATCTGTCTAAATGTGATGACTATTTTACTAGAACTCTTTATTCAACCAAACTAACATTCAACTATGAGTGCAAAATAAAAACACTGAAAGCATGCCTCAACACACAATGTTTCCCAACCGTCCACTCCTGTCTGGAAGAATTACTAGAGGATACATTTTGAAAAAAGGAGCAATAAGTCTGAGAGAGAGATTGTATAAGAAACAGTGAAGAACAATAAAACCAGTATAATTTATGCTTAGGCATAAATAAGGATAGCTTTTGAAGAAAACAATGGGAATTTTTATTTTAGAATTAATTTATTGATTATCTTAATGTAGAGTAGGCTTTTCAATGTGCTGATATAGAAGATGGCAGAGGTGGGAGGAAGAGAAAAATAATTGCTAAGATTCTTGATTTATATGAGGAAAATATAAAGAAAATGATTAACAAATGCATTGCATGGAAGTAGCAAAGCTTAAATACACATGTTAAAATTTCAAGGGCAACCATTTGAAAAACAATGAGATGTCAAACTTTCAAACCATTAGAGAAAAGTAAATGTAAGATAACTGCATGAATTCATCAAAAGACAAGAATAATATTTTTTAAAGTAGAGAAAGAAAACATAAAAGAAGTTGTTAAAAATGATTTAAACATCGCAGTAATCACAAATCAAATCAATATCTAAAAACAATTTAAATACTTAGTTTCAAACTGGGTTTAAAATAGTTCTTTTCTTTTGTTTAAAAGAGCGTAAAACATTTAATCTTAAAAAATAAAATGACTCATAAATAGATGTAGCAAAGAAATAAAATAATATCAGACATATGTCCAAAATACAAGTGTGTTAATATTGATGTTAGGACAAAGAAAATGTTAATTGAATACATTTAAGAGGACATCTTAAATATCCTTTTAAAGAAGATATCTTTAGAATCTATCACACTAAGAATATATTTTGTGCCAAGCCTATTTTGGCCTCTACAAAGACGCAGGTAACAGATACAATTTCACAGGATTATAAAATAAAAATCGCAGTTGCCTTAAACTGAGATGGCAAAGATTGTAAGAAGAAGTGGTGGTATTGATGACATGTTAGAGTCTGAGAGCTAAGTTTGGGGTATGATTGTTTTGAGTTGCATATTAGAAAACCAAGTATACATATCAAGTAGAAAGTTGACTATAAAAGTCTTTGAATCAGTGTTAAATCTAGTTACAAGATATAAATTTTAAAATCTCTAGTATAAAAACTTCATTTAAAAATATATGACTGAATGATATTGGGTAAGTGTACACACATCAATTTTTTTAAAACTTAAGCAATCCAAGGACTAAGCTTTTGGGAATTCCAATATTTTTAGAGCAGGAAATGAGAGAACACAGTGCAGCAAATGCAAAGTAAGAGTACAGACGGAAATCCAGGAGAGCGGTGACAGTCCGGAAAAAGTTAAAAATGGTGTTGTAAAGATGAGAATGGCAAATACTGCAGATAGATGAAGCAAGATGAAGACTAAGAATTGACTATAGTATTCAGTGATTAAGAAGTCATTGCTGACCTTGTATTAGAAGTTCTGTTACAGTGACAAGAGCAATAGGCTTGTTTGGAATGGGCTCAAGGGGTAATATGAAAAGAAACATTAAAATAAATGAGGGAAGTGAAGTGTTGTAAGGAGTGTTGTTGTAAAGAAAAAAAAACAGGTTTTTATATAAAGCAGAGGGAGAGGCAGGATCGGCAGTTTTTAATTTGTTTTAAGATAAGAGAAAAAGCTACATCTTTCACACAGATGTGAAAGATCATGCACATACCTAAAAATAAATAAAACAGAGGCAAAAATTGAAGAAATGATGTACTTCAGGAAAATGGTGATAGTAGAATCTATTGTACAACTGAAGGTGTTGCCTTTGGATAGAAGCATGAATAATTTATTTCTAATGAAACAAGAAAAATGTATACATTGTCATAGAAACTATTACGAGGCTGTAATAGTGGTGGAAGCATCTAGAAGATATTTTGGCTGCTACAATTCTTTTCATAAAGCAAGAGCTGACCTCATCAGATAAGAGTGTAGATTTTGGAGGTTTGTGAAGAAAGGACAGTGTCTGAAATGGTCGTCTTGGAAAATGGCAGATTGAATGGAGAATGGAAACACCTAATACAGTTGTTGAGCAGCAGTAGGAGTATGTAAGAAGCTGGTAAACATGCTTTTCTATGTGAACAATCAGCATGATAGTGTGTTTTACACCACTAAGCTCAAGTAGGTATATATAGGTTCAGGGTATGCAGAGAATGTGAACCAGGGTTATGGTGTTACCAAGGGAGTTGAAGACACAGGCAAGGGATTGATTATAATGTTTTACCATGAAATTTAAGCTGGGTAAAGATATAAAAGAAGATAAGAAATAAGAGAGGAATGATGTAATACAAGAGGGGCAGTAAATCTTAGGTTCTGGTTATTGGTGTTGGGATCTTAGAGCATGTAAGTTAGGGATAGGGTGGAATTAGAGAGCAATGTTCTTGAAATTGACATTATGGAAAGTTTGTGCTTATTAGTAATGGTAAGTTCTAGGGTACAAATATGATTGTTGAGTGAGTTATCCATGTCAATATTTAAAGCTTCAAGAGTTATGAGGGTAGTCATGTTGGACAGACAGCCAGTAAACTGGGAGGTAAAATTCTATGGGATGTGAGACGAAGCCTAAGTGTCTACGATATTTGTTAGAAGCAGGATGACATCAAATTTAAATCTGTTGTTCCTAGGGATGAAGAAGGAACATCACTGAAGCTAGGAGTTTTGAAAGAAAAGGGAAGAAAAGAGATTGGATGTGACATGGAGGGTATCTTTCACATCTCCATGATATCAGGAGTAAGGAAAGTGAAACAGCTACCAGTTGAGACTCTTACAGGAGAAGCAGTATTCTTGAGGGTACAGAGTTTAATAAAAGCAAAATAATAAAATAAATACAATGTTTTAAAAAGTGATTCAGGTGATTTTTATCAATTATTTGTTTCTGTTTAACAAACCACTTAAATCTGAGGATTTAAAGTAGCAGCCTTTTTTTTTTTTTCCTCATAAATCTACACACCAGCCAAGAGGTTCCATTGATTTGGGCCAGAATTACTGATCAGAATTCGGCTTGCTCAGGTGTTTGCCTTCAGTTAGTGAATTGGCCAGGGCTGGCTGGTTACTGTGTTTTGCCTGGAAAGCCTGAGCTCTGCTCCATTTGTTTCTCATATCACTCCATCTGCCATTCCCTCTACCCATGGTAATGGCAGAAGATTTGAATTAACAATTGAGAAAGAAAGCATCAATGGCTAATAAACATATTACAAGAAGGTCATTTCTCATTACTAATCAGTGAACACACATTAAAACAATTAAAAGGTAACATTTTATACATGTTAAGAAAGGTTTATAAAATTCACTGTTGGTGAGGGCGGATGGAAAAATATATGCTTTCATTTAGTTTCAGAGAGAGAATAAATTGTTCCTCCATCTTTAGAAGGACTTTCAGCCATGTGTATCAATTTTTAAATTGAAGCTACTTTTTAACCCCAAAACTATTCTTCCAGGTATCAACCATAAAAGAATATTCATTATAAAAGAATACTCACAGTACTTATAGAGAAAGATGTTTAAGGATGTTCAATGTAGCATTGTATAAAATATCAAACATTGTAGACAGTTATAAATGTGTAAGTAAAGATTACATATAGCAATTCTTCATGCATCAGTCAAAGACTTGGATGAAAACAAGTGGCACACTCAAATTAAGTAACTGAACATATTTTAATAAAGGCATTGTTTACAATGATATGGGTACAAGTTTAGGAAAGTCAGAAAGGGAAACACGGTATCCTGGGGTTTATAACAATGGAAAACTCCCAGTATCTCTTGGCCTAATGGGAAACTCGTGACAGCTGTGTGTAGAAGACCACCTGATAAAAGGTATGGCCCTTGGTAGGGGAAGATGGCAAATAGAAAACAAGTATGCAAGAAGATGGGAAATAAGTGCCTCAACTTGGCTTGTTTTTCTTCTTTCTGTATCTCCTGCCCGTGGCTTTCACTGCACTGACAGATGCAATCAGAAGCCATAGAGCAAGGAAGGTATTGGAGATCAAGAGTTCTTTTAGGCAGTCGTTTTAGTTCGGTTTCCCAGGACACAGAGCAGGGTGGAGAAGAGTGGAGACTGGATCTGGAGAGACAAATGGAAGTTATCCAGCATAACACACAAGATAGTATTAAACAGCAGAAAAGAGGTCCAGGTAAGTTCATACCTGTTTATATAGAATGATTTCTCCAAAATGGGAAAATGAAAAGAAATTTTAATTTTGCAATCTAATATTTTTAATATAAAATATACAATGTGACCATATACTTCTAAATCTACATATGTAATTATTTCAGTGAAAATAGATACCTTAAATTGTTAACAATAGTCATCATTCCTGTAGATAGTAGTTAGTTGATATGGGTAGAAAGTTAAGAGGGATTTTATTCAACTGGATTTTAAAGTTTACAATGAGCATGCATTTATGTAACAAATTTATTTCACTGAAATTTTAATTTTTTACATCAATAAAATTATTACTAAAATTCTATAGAGCAGTTGGGCAAGGGGCAGGAGCAAAATTTATATTATGATAAACAATTTATCTTCTAATATATACAATACAGAGAATCAGAATGAGGAAATCACAGTGGAAGCCTGCTTATTGAATAATTATTGAATTATGAATTGAATTATGAATTGGATTTAATTATGAATTGAATTATAAATTGAATTCAACTATGAATTAAATCATGAATTAAATTATGAATTATGAGTTATGAATTCAATAACAAGAAACAGGAAATGAGGGTGGCTGCCACCAGTCTGATTCTGAGGTTTGAAAAGTTTTACAGTGGAAAACAGGTCCATACATACTTTCAGTAAATAATGGTGTTTAATTGTGTTTAATTTCTCCTTTTTTTTTAAGTGACTGCTAATTTTTTAGGAAATACGTAAGTTATTTGTACCTAAGTGCTTAGTAAACAGGATTTCTTTCTTTCGGCTTAGGAGTACTATGAAAAAATTACTGAGCTACTAAGGGCACGGTGAACAGAGAAAGTTTGAAAACCTCAGATCTGAAGTATTAAAAATTATATTCAGGCAAATTACAAAAGTTCTACGTACATATTTCTAAAGATATAAGCATGTTAACTGTAAACTTCTATCTCTACTGTAGATTATCAAATGGCACTTCACTCTTATACGGTTTTTTTTTTTTTAATTTTTTTCAGGCGGGCAATTCATTTACATGGACTCCTTTTTCATGTAACTTGTATCTAGATGAAATATTTTGGGACTTATCATTGAGTGTAAATAGAGAGAACTCATGAGAACTAATGCCTCTCTCCCTTCTTCCACTCAGTTTATTTCCCTAACGTTTGCTAATCACTTGTGACTCATTTGGCAAAGAAAATACACTAATATGCATAGTCTAGCAGAAAGCAGGTGTTAAGCATTGTACTGTGAAATTATACTAGTTGGTACCATGCACAGGAACATGAACAGAAATATAAAAAGGGGAAATTGCATCAGGTTGTAATGTAGTGCTCAAAACTAGGAAACAGAACATAATCTGTGCCCCCATCTAGCTACATTACCATGGGCAATCACTTACTGTTCTGAGCCTCAGTTTTGTTTTCACAAAGAAATGAATCAATCTAACAGTAATTGACCAGTTTCTTGAGAAATTTAAGCATGAGGATAAAATAATACCTAGTTGCAATTACTACATAATCTATTAGGTCAAATTAGACATACTGTTACTTTGACATATACATAGTTACTTATTTTAGAAACGCTTGAGGATTCCAGAAAAATTTCAAACTCCTTAATTTGGCGCACTTGGCCTGGCCTAGCATTTTGTGAATTAGCCATGACTTGTTTTTGCAATTCTGACTTCTACCACAAACCATACCAGATTATTACTAATTTCTATTATAATGTTATGTGGTTTCATTTTTCCATGCTTTGACTTTAATAAGTGATTTTAAATATATTAATGAATGAAGAATATCTACATAAAATCTAATAATGACTAATGGAATGTATTAGAAATGTGTGGGAATCAAAATGTGCTATAGGAATTCAGAAAAAGTGGAGATTAATTTCTATGAGAAATCAGTTTTATTTTAAAAATGGTATCTGAACTAAACCACAGAGATGGGTAAAAGCTACAGCAGCAGAGACTATATGAGGGCTTTATAACTAGAGGAATACCCTACGTATGGAATAACTCAGGCATATGCCTGCTTTCAGGAGTCTGTTTTATTAAATTTTTTCTTGCTAACTATGCCTTTTCTAATCTAGCTTGTAATCTATTCAATTCAAAACTATGAACATTTGCTAGACATAAATGAGGTAGTCTTCAGCTCACAGGAATTCTTCTGTTCTGGGAATTTCCCCATAGTAGCCAGGTTTCTCTTCCCTGATATTATTCTCATTATCCTCCTATGACCCTGGCTGATTGTTGCTATTATTACCAGCAAGTGTTGGTAGTAACAATTGCAGCTGTGCTGGACACGTTTTATTTACCAGATTCAACCTTTGCCCTTCTCCAGCCTGCTATTTGCCAATAAGATGGTCAAGGGGGAATACTAGTAGATCAGTCAGAAGAAATGATTGATATTGGAGGGTATTTTTTTTTCCCTGAGATGGACTCTTGTTTTGTAGCCCAGCCTGGTGTGCAGTGGTGTGATCTCGACAACCTCTGCCTCCTGAGTAGCTGGGATTACAGGCACCCGCCACCATGCCCAGCTAATTCTTGTATTTTTAGTAGAGACAGGGTTTCGCTTTGTTGGCCAGTCTGGTCTTTAACTCCTGAACTCAACTTATCCTCCCACCTTGGCCTCCCGATGTGCTGGGATTAAAGATGTGAGCCAGCAAGCCCAGCACTGGAGTTTTTATTTACTTAACTTCCTTACTGTGTGGTATCACACAGTAACTTTGCTCTCCTAGAAAAAAACAGCTCTTGTCAAGAGTAAATTCACTATATAACTTTCTCTTCTTGGAATCTTTGCTTCCTTTCATCCCTTTAAGTAGATGGGTGGTAATAGCTCTGTTCTTACTACTGTTAAGTTTTTATATTTTTCCTTATGGTACCATTCAATTACTTACATTAAAAGAAAATTAAATGACTCACAGTTTTAGTTTTCACATGTAGAGAGGTTAGGAGTTTTTACTCTTATTTTTGCAAGAAGAAAACAGCATTCAAAAAATTGAAAATGTATGACTTTTCTTGGACAAGAGAACTGAGGTTTTAGAGCAATTCAAAATGTGGAGAGACAGGTGAATCCAGAGTGATAGCCAACACCTGCTTACCTGAAACGGGAATCACTAGAGTAGAAAACTGGTAGGACAACTTACATGGTAATGTTGATCAGTTGTTGGAGCTGAGCGTGGACTAATGAGAAACTATAGGAGCTGCAGACTTACTGCTCTCCATACTTTTGTGAGCCCCACTATGAGCCCCACTGAGTTCTCATGGTGAGGATCTGAGAAACCTACCCTCTTGCCTCTGGCAGGGGAAAGGGAAGAGCGGTTTTATTTTTTTAATGCCCAGAGCATTTTCCATAACAAACACCCACCCTCCTGAGAAAAAGACTGTATCAGAGATTTTCCCAAACAGGGAAAGTCATTTCCTCCCATGCCAGCCCCCTACTGCTTTTCTGTCTCACCAAATGAGGGCCAAGGGGGAAGGTGGGGTGTTTTGTTTGTTTGTTTTTGTTTTGTTTTGTTTTTTTACAGGGGATGTTAAGGAGGACTATAGCACTGGTGAAGATCACAGTCCTAAAATACAGGCCCACTGAAAGACTAAGATTTAATAATGAGATTATAGAATGCTTCTCCCCCTCACCCATACACATACTACCTTCACATCATTAGAGGTCTAGTGTAAAAATAGTGGATTACAGTTAAATGTGCCGCAAGACATAGACTTGGAAATTTTTCCGCAGTGAGCGGGTCTATGCAAACCTACCCCCAAAGACCTAGGAAGCTAAGGGGCAGAATAAAGAGGCTGACAAATCCAGTTTCACAGAAAGAAACATTCATTAATAGTAGGGACTTACAAACAGAAGCCATGTCTTGGGCAGCCAAGGGACAAGATGGTGAATCCCTGCGCCCAGACTCAGGCTTTATATACCATGTGGAATTTGCCTAAGGGCAGGATTTATGGTAAGTAAATGTTTACAATAATATCAAAGTTGTTTCGACCTAAGGGCAGAATTTATGGTATGTGAAAGTAGAAATCTTAGATGCATTCCCAGAGCTGGTGTTAATCAGAAGTCAACATGATGGATGTGCATCCAAGATGAAGTTGCTTCAGCCTCCACAAAGGTGAAGTTCTTAGGGAAGCCAAAGTGAGTGGCAAAGATTAAAAAAAAAAAAAAGTCAGAAGAGTTTGAGGTTCTGGCAACTAGGGCTACATAAAATATTAAACATTTAAATTTTTTATTAAAAATTAAATTTATGCCAACTCCTAGCCAGATTAGCACAAATAATCATACAAAATGCTTACTTACCTCAGTTCTTATTACTATGTACATTGTGTTTGACTTGCAACAACAAAAAATTACAAAGCATGTTAAACAGTGGAAAAAAAATGTAAAAGCAAAACTAAATGATGCTATGAAGAGATAAAGTTCTCATGAGAATTAAACTCCAATATTATACAAGTTTTCAAATTATGAGGCAGGGAATTGAACTATAATCAATATGTTAAGAGTTCTAATAAAAAAGTAAACAGGTAAAATTATGTGGGTAATATGAGCAGAGAGATAGAAATTACACAAATCAAACTGATAGACATTTTTTTAAAAACCTAAGATGTAAATGAAGTTCTTTTGAGCTCAAAGGTAGACTGGATACACCAGAGACACAAATTAGAAACTGCGTAGATAGTTCAACAGGAACATCTCAAGAGCTGTGGAATCTCAAAAGGTGTAACATACACATAATTAAAACACCAGGGGAGAAGAAAATAAGTAGAAGAAATATTTGAAGTAATAATGGCCAATAACTTTTCAAAGTTAATTACAGACACCAAACCACAGATCCAGGACGCACAGAAAACAAGCCGTATAAATACTTAAAAAACCACAGAAAAAACTAGACCTCTATATTCAGCGAAGTTATAAGTGAAGGAAAGATAAAGTCATTATCTGACACTTGTGCACATCTGGAGGATTCACCACCAGAACTTCCCTGCAACGAAATATAAAAAGTTCTTTAGGCAGAAGAAAAATGATAGAGGGCAGAAATTGAGATCTACAAAAAGAAAGGAAAAGTGTCAGAGGGAGAATAAAGATTAAAAAAATATTTTTTCATTTCCATATTTGACCCAAAAGATAACTATTTAAAGTAGTAATAGTATTGATATATGTATTGTGGTAATTACAGCATCTACTTAAGTAAAATGAATGGCAGCAGGTCATAAGAAGGGAGAGATTGGAACTTCTTGTCATAAAGTACCTACATTACATATGAAGCAACATTGTGTCATTTGAAGGTTGATTTAGGTTACTGGAAAATGTATGCTGGGAAATCTAGGGCAACCAATAGAAAACTTACTAACAAGAAACATAATGGATATGCTAAAGAGATGAAACCATATAAAATGACCAATTATAACACAAGAAGACATAAAGTGATGGAGGGAGAGGGGAAGAAGAAACAAACATGTAGCAAATAAATAGGTACTAGGATGGTAGATATTAACCCAATTATATCAATAATTAACCTCAAAACTCAAAGAGAAATAGATAATCTGAAAAGGCCTATACCAAATAATTTGAATCAATAATTTAAAACCTTCCAAAGGAAAAGTTACCACTCCCATATTGTTCCACTGGTAAATTCTACCAAACATTTAAGGAAGAAATAATGTTATTTCTCTATAGTCTCTTGCAGAATATAGAAACGAGAGAATACTTACTTACTAATTCATTCTATGTGGCCAGGATTACCTAATTATCAAAACTCGATAAAGACATTATATAAAAAAGCCTTTAGCACAATATTTGTCATAAATATAGATGCAAAAATCTTCAACAAAATATTAAATTGAATTCAACAATGTATAAAATATATTATACACCAAAATCATATGGGATTTATTTCAGGTCTGCAAGGCTGGTTCAATATTCAAAGATGAAATTCATCACATTAACAGGCTAAAAAGAAAAATGATCTATCAATTGATGCAGAAAATATATTGGGAAACTCCAAACCTCATTTATATTTAAAACAACAAAATCTCAGAACTACAAATCCAGGGCAACTTTCTTAACTTGATAAAGAACACCTTCAGAAAACCTACAGTTAATGTTACACTTAGTGATTAGAAACTAGACACTTTCTCCTAAGATCTGGAACAAGTAAGGATGTTCCCTTTTACAACTTCTATTCACTATTGTCCTAGAAATCCTAGATAATGCATTAAGACATGAAAATGAAACAAAGTTATGCACATTGAGATCCTGTCATTTGCAACAACGTGGATGGAACTGGAGGTCATCATGCTTAGTGAAATGAGCCAGAAACAGAAAAATATCACATGTTCTCACTTACTTGTAGGATTTAAAAATCAAAACAACTGAGCTCATGGAAATAGAGAGAGTAGAAGGATGGTTACCAGGTGCTTGGAATGGTAGTGGGGTGAGGTGGGGATGGTTAATAGGTACAAAAAAAATAGAAGGAATAAAACCTAGTATTTGATAATACAACAGGATGACTATATTCAATAACTAATTATACATTTTAAAATAAAAGTATAAGAATTGTTCATAACACAGAAGATAAATGCTTGAGGGGATGCATACCCCATTTTTCATGACGTGATTATTACACATTGCACAACTGTATCAAAACATCTCCTGAAAAAAATATCTCCTGTATCCCATAAGTATATATATACCTACTATGTATCTACAAACATTAAAAATGGTATAAAATTATCTTCATAATTAACATGATTATAGAAATCCTAAAGAATAACAGAAACCCCTTTTGGAACTAATGGATAATATAATTAGGTCACATAAAGTGATAGCAATATCATACAATATAAAGTTAATATAGAAAAATAAATTGCTTGCCTATATAGCAACAATTAACAATTCAATTAAAAAATACCTCAAACCAAAGAATCAAAATAAAATGCAATGCTCAGGTATAAATTAACAAAATGTAATACGTGGAGAGATACAAATGTCTGATGAAAGAAATCAAAGATGATCGAGAGAGAGTTATACTGTAAAAATGTCAATTCTCCCCAAATTGATACACAGCCTTTAGCAAAATTCCTATCAAAAGCTCAGTAAGATTTTTGTATTTCCATAAAAGATTATTCTGAAATGTATATGGAAAGGCAAACTAGAAATAGCTAAAGCATTTTTTTAAAAAGAGTAAAACAGGAGGATCAAGACTTTATTTTACAGCCAAAATAATAAAGACTGTTGAAACAGTGAATGGATAGCCAGATAAGTCATTGGAACAGATAGATATCTTTGCCAATTTTGCCTATCTGGAGAGGCCTATCCATACACATCCTTGCAAGACCCACTTGTCACCAATTTTCCAAATATTTGCCTTCAAGAACCTGATCATTTGACCAAATCATTGTCCACAGCCCCTGAATCTGTGTGCATGCATACGTATGGCCTTTTTCCAAGCAAGGTGAACATCCATGTGTCTTACTCCAGCTGTCCACTGGGCCTATACATTGTGCAGAAACATCAGTAAAGCAGGGCTGATCTTTTCCTCCCTCAACTGATTGTAGGTGTTAACCACGTCTACAATATACCTTCACAGAAACACCTAGATTTAATTAAATAATTGAGTGCTATAGTCTAGCCAATTTGATTCATAAAAGCAATCATTACACCACCTAAAAAAATACTTAAAGGTATGTGAAGGATTCTATGGAAAAACCAATTGACAAATAGGAGGTGTATAATAGAGAGGATGGATAACAAAACTGACAAGTATTTTACCCTATTTTTCACTTTAAGAGTCACTTCTAACCTAGGGCTAGAGGAAAGTTGTCATCATGTCTCACGTAATTAAAACACCTATCTGTTACTGCCTTTGCTATGTGTCAGGTAGTGTTGTAAGTTTATTTAATTTTCACACCATCATAAAGTAGATTATTTTTGTCCCATTTTAGGCACAGAGACATAATTATAGAGGTGGGATGCAAACCCAGTCTTACTCTGTAGTCTGATTTCTTAACCATAAGCAACTTTGCCTCTCAGATAAGAAGTTTAATGAATTTTCAGTATATAGGCTTGCAGCCTCCAATTTTAATCGCTTTGCTTTATTTACCTCACACTTTCTAGTTCTACTAGCTCAGTTTTAACTCTCTTGGCTAGTCTACAGTATTGGTGATCACAGCAGAGGAGTGTGTTACAGCATTTGACCTCAGTGATAGTTACATGATCAATTAACAATGCCTTCTGTGAATAAGAGAGGGCAAGATAAAGACTTACGGAATGCCATGCTTTAATTTCTGTTCTAGATCCTTCATTTTAAAAGACCAGTTAACTGCTTAATAAGTGGCTTTCAACCTCAGTTTCATTTCCAAGCTTATGGATACCTTGATTTATTTATCCATACAATCTGGGGATGTTTATATCACAGCCTCCTGAAGATTGCTGTAAAACCTCTGTCCTGTGCTTAGCCTCTGCTCTGGAGAAAGAAAAATAAGTACTTATTGAAGCTGTGCTTCACTCTTAACACTTCTAACTTCCTCTTGTCCAGTATCTAGTCCTAGCCTTTCACCTAGGAGGGTGCAAACCCCAAGAGAAGCAAGTTAGATTTGAGTAATAGAGAAACCTTAATAGCAGTTTAGGGGAAGTGTACAATTTTTCCTGCAGGCAACGTAGAAAAATTAAATGCTTCTGTGCAATGAGGTCCTATGTCTTTCTTCTGTTTCTTAATGGAACAGATCATCCAACGTATATCAAAGACGTGACCACTGGAATATTTAGCTAAATTTTAATTATATTTTTATTCTGTTTTAGATTGAATACAAGCACGTCTCCTAGGTAACCCAATCCATTGCTGATGGAAGCTAAGCAGGAGTGATTTCGGCAGTGGCTATCTGAGAGAAAAATAATTATAGTAAATGTGCTATGCATTACAAATGAGATAGAGCTATTGAAATTACTCCAAACATCTTTACAAAGAAAATCTCTGAAGAGTTTTTTTTTTTTTTTTCTTTTCTCTATTGCTTTTGTTTTACCCTCTCAAAACTGTTTTTATAATGGCATTATTTTCTGGGCAGGAGAAACAGGAGTGTATATATACGAGGTAGCGTGTGCTAAAAATTGAAACTTCCAAATGATGAAAAAAGACCAACTTAAACTTCAAAAACAGAACTTTTAAAGCTGTGTTTATGGCTTAAACTCCAAAATGAGATGTTATTTTTTATTTTGAACTGACTTAAGGCCAATGAGATTGAATTCTTTAATTTCCCATTTCAGCATCAAATGTGAAATTGTGCATACAATGTAGTCTAATTAAAAACAGTAACATTTGTTTTACAGAAAAACTTTCCAGAGAATAACTTTATAGGTTATTGTGACTAGCATTTACTTCAAATGTAAAATTAAATTATATAGATTTTATTGTTTTTCTGTTGGAAGAAAAGATAATGACATCAAGTACTTTTATGCAACTACTGTTAAATTTTCAATAAACACAATAGCTGAAAATGTGAAATTGTTCTACTTTAATATTTATTTTTCTAATTATTCTTGTATTTTTAAGAATTAGTTGCAAGAATATTAAGGCATACCACCCTGTTTCATACAATCATATACAATAGAAAGCAGAAGTGGAAAAGTAAATCCCATAGAACATCCTTTATGTAGGGCTCATCTTGTTTTTAGTTCTGTGAAATTGGAAAAGATACTTATTTTTTTGAGCCTGAGTTTTATCTTATGCGAAATGGGTGGAAAGAGCCTACCTCTAAATTTGTCTCAAGAGCAAAATGCCCATCTTTATGTGATGTGTTTCACACGGAACGCAGAATATGATAGGAATCAATATTTTTACTTTCCACATAGAATGAAAATCTCTTGGTTTAGTGTTTATCAATAGATTAGGAAAAAATTTGGTGTTGCTAGGACTTAAAAGCATTGTAATAAAATCTGTGCCTTTATTAATGAAGATACTAAAGCATTCCACTGATTATTCCAGTTTCCTAATGTTCAGAGACAGGTTTACATTTTGTTACCCCAAAACCTCAACTCTCCTATCCCTGGGAATTAGGCAGTTAATTAATTCCACCTCCTTTCCAGGAAGATGTGTCAGGGCCAACATACATCCGCAGATGAATTTCAGGACTACTTTACATACCTTCAAACCCCAGTGCTTCAGCTTTGTATGACAATATTTGAAAAATATTCCCTACGTGAAAAAGCACTGAGGTGCCCCCTTGGGATAGAAAGCAATTTCTGCATCAGCCTGTGTTGGGACATAGAATAGGCAGCCAATAACTATTACTATGATTGAATCATTCTGGCTTTAAGCAGTAAGCATTTATCTTCACAGTAGGTGATTGCCACTGTGCTACGGGTGTGAAAAAAGAACTATGAAATCATCTCTGCCCTCAGGAAGCTTATAGCCACATGAGAGAAGTGTTTCACAAACATAAGATAGTTAGAAGAGATCCTACTTGACTTCACATACTTTTTACAAGTACTGTTGCTATTTGGAGAGAGGGTACAATCTCTGCTGGCTGTGATACACAAAAGGTCTTCTTAAAGACACAGAATGGCTAGAACAATGATGGTTAGAGAGGAAAACAAAAATTTGTATATATGAGGAACAGCACCTGTATAAACTTTTCCAATGCTTTCCCAGCACTTTTCCATTTATTCAGGATAACTTACTCATGTTCTTTTTGTCACTTCTAACAAGTCTTCATATCTTTTCTTTATTCTGTTATTAATTATTTCACAAAGGGGGGAAATACTATGAAATATTCCTGACTGCTTTATTGAAAACTTATGGCTCATTTCCACAGTAAAGAATCCACAGAGTATGTGGATATCTTTGATCCACTCCAAACATGTTAAATGTTCTTTTTGCATTCTACAATTTTCCACTTTTTTTTTCAGGAGCTGTGTTTTCAATTAAGCCGTAACACTTTGGCACATATTTCCCCACATCTTGACATATAGTTTCATGTCTTGACACAATATCTCAGAGATCCAGTATGGGGAAATAAAGTCTGCAATTTACAAGGCTCAACTAATTACCAATGTGTATAAATTCCCAAGTTCAACTTGAATTGTATCTCCTTGCAAAATGGAATGTCAAAGAATGCTAAAATATTAAGACATAATTCTGATTTGATATGTGACTTTAAAAAAATCTAGGTAAGTAATAAGAAAATATGTAAACAAAGGAGTATAACTCTCATTAAAATTTAAATGTACTCTGGTGGCCCATTTTTAAATTTACTTTTTTGGAAGTGGAAGAACTGAATAAATTGGCAACAATTCAGCAGATGTCTAGACAGTATTTCTGTATTGAAAGGTCCTGAGGCCAGGGGAACTCATAGAGGATGTAACATCCATTTAACCTAACCTCTGGATTTAATAGATGAAGACTATTACAGAAAGTCTAAGATATTTGCCATGTACCTAGAAAGTGGCTGAGGGTGGTTATAGTCCATTTATCTTACAATTTAACCACTTTTATGAGTCATTTAATTATGAAAACATCAAAAATAAAAGTAATTTACTTTGTTGCTGTAACTTAGGTCATTCAGAAATATGGCTATGTGTGGTACTTGAAATAGATGGAAACTGATTTTATATTAATAACATTGATGTTAAAGAATAAAATCTTTGAACATTAAGTTAACTAAAATAAATTGAAGGGCATATTATTTTATATAAGAAATCTTTTTCATTTAGTAATCTGAGACTCAGATGACATTTCCAAAGTTTATCCACAAAACATTTATTGGAGTTCTAGATAGGTCAGGTATAGTCAGAATTCTTCACATTAAGTGTCGGGAGTGACTTTATTCAGAACATCTGTTGAAATGTCACCTTCAAATATAGACCAGTGAGAGGCATGCATTCATAATATTCTTCCTGATAAATATTTCTTAAGCACTATGTGCCAGATACTATTGAAAGTAGATGAAGTAGTCATAGTCTCCACTCTCATGGAGCTTATACCCTAGTGGGGGAAAGACAGATGTTAAATGGATAACTGGTAATGAGATGATGACGGAGCAAACTGAATGGATGTGAGTGCAGGAGGCACGACTTGAGGGTGATTTGTATAGGGTGCGGAGGGATCTGTCTACAGGGATGAGGTTCAAAGTGAAAGTTAGAGAAAGAATTATTCTGCCATGGAGGAGAATCCAGATGAATCCAGATGAATAATGTCCCAGGCAGAGAGAGAATGGAAAGCATAGAGGGCTCAAGGTAAGGAAGATGCAGTGTGTTACAGAAACTAAAAGGAGATTAAAAAGGGTGTGAGGTTAGTTAACCTAAGAAGAATGGCTCCAAATGAGAATGATGGATCAAAAGGAGTGAGATTATTCAAGATGAGAAGTTTGGGATTTTGTAAAAGTAAATGAGAATTAGATGACGGGCCTTTAAAAAAAAAGCTTTATTGACACATAAATAACGTATTATAAAATTCACACTTTTAAAGTTCAAAGCTCAATGATTTTAGCAAAGAGTTGTGCAACCCTCATTATAATCTAATTGTTATTGTAGTAAAATATATACAAAATCTAGTATTTTAACTAATTTAAAGTGTTTCATTTTATGCCATTAACTACAATCACAATGTTGTTCAACCATCTCCATTATCTAATTTCTGAACTTTTGTTACCCTGAATGGAAATCTCATACTCATTAACCAGTGACTCTTATTCTTCTTCTTCCATGCGCCTGTAAACCACAAAACTGCTTTTTCTTGCTACAGATTTTTCTACTCTGGATATTTTGTATAAATGGTGTCCTATAATATGTGGCCTTCTGTGTCTGGCTTCTTTCATTTAGCATAACGTACACTAATGTTCATCGAAGCTCTATTTACAATAGCCAAAGGGTGAGAATAACACAAATGTGTATCAAAAAAATGAAATGACAAGCAAAATGTGTCATATCTATACAATGGAATGCTATTTAACCATAAAAGAATAATGTTATGATACATACTAAAGAATGAAACTTAAAACATTAGAATTATAGAACAATTTGTATGAAGGATTTCTCAACAAGATGGCAAATAATACAATTTACTTTTTAACACATCTCAGAACACCCCATTGACTGCTGTATGAAGACTGGATTGAAGGGAGGAAAAAAAGGAAATACTTGTTGAAAAGCGACTGCAGTTGACCAAGTGAGATACTGCGTTTGTTTAGAGTGGGACATTTGCAACAGAGGTGGGGAAACCGATACATTAGAAATATATTTAGAAATAGAATAATCATGCTTTGTGCTTCATTGAATTCAGGGAATGAAACAGAAATCAGTGCAGACACACAAGTGTGGAATGCAGCTACGTCACTTACTACGATGTAGAAGAAACAGATTTGGGGGAGAAAGGATAAGATGTGATTAAGTTCAGCATTGTGTGTTGCTGAGGATGTGGGCGAACTAGAACTCTCTTCATGGGAGCACATATTTCTATAAATGCTATTTTACATGGAAATAGGTAGAATTTATACCACTACTTTGGAAAACTGTTGAGCATTATCTTCAAAAAAGAAATATGCACATGAAATATACCCCAGTAATTTTATAATACATACCCAATAGGAATAAGCACATATATTTACAAAAATGGGTGAGTTTTATTAAAGCAAGATTATTCATAAATTCCAAAACCAGAATCTACCAAAATTCCCACTGAGAGTGGAATGATTGAATAAATTGTGACACTGTCATACAAAAGAACACTGTAAAACAAGAAACAAGCTCCAGCTGCACGCAACAACATAGATAGATCTTGAAAATATGTGGATTAACAGCAGCCTGACACAAATAAGCACACATGGTATGATTGCAACCATTATAAAGTTTTAAAAGAAGCAATTCAGGCTCTAAGAATTCAGGGTAAGGTATGCTGGGATGGAGGGAAGAGGCTTTAACAGGAAGATGGCATGAGGATTTCTGGGGTTCTACCCTCCCTGACTGCTCCTGTCTTAGTGGCTCTACAACTCTTACATATTGTAAACAATTTTTTCATGTGTTTATCTTTGCACAAGTGTGTGTTCTGGGTATGTCTGTATGTCTGTTTCCCCTAGTAGACTTTGAGCTCCTTGTAGTAATAGAGACTGTATTTTATTCAGCTTGGAACCTGACACATAGTTGAATCACAGTAAATGTTGAATGAATGAATGAATGAATAGCAGGGTGTTAGGAGACAAGCGGATATGGATCATTGTATCAAAGCCGGTACCTAAAAGAAGCATGGGCAATGCTTTGGTATGAGATGTACCATGGCAGCGGGCAAAACTCAAAGGTCCATATGAAAATAAATTTGGCAACTTTCAGTCATATTAGAGTGTATTTGAAATGATGGTTACTCAATTTTTTTGGATGACTTAAAAAAAACCTTATTCTTTGTAATAGGACTTTTTTTTAACTGGGATGCAGTGTATCCAGAAAAGGATGGTCTTTTCTAATTTCTATGACTACTAGGAAGGTAAATGAGAAGCAAAATACTATTTGATAGTACTGTTAGAGAATTTCCTGCAGAGAAGTGCAAATATTTGGCATGTCCCCTTCTTATCCTCTTCCCTACCAATGCACACATTTTTAACACATGCCTGGAGTGTGGATGTGATAACTGGAGCCACCATGAATCTGAGGTAGCCTTGAGGACAGAAGACATCTACTAAAGAAAGCAGAGATAAGGACCCAAGTTTTCTATGACTTTTTGGAGTTTTCATACCAACCCTGGACTGTCTCCTCATGCTTACTTTAGAGGCAAGAATAAACCCATTTGTGTTCAGCCATCAAAGTTTAGTTTCTGTTTCTGGCAGCAGTTTATAGTTTCTAACTGACAGAGAAACTGATCTCTGTGCAGGTAAGAAATGTCTCCCACATTGCACAGCAAGTAAATGGTCGAGCTGACTTTAAATCTGTCAGTGTGCCAAAATATTTTATGCACTATGTATCACTGAATGTTCCCCCCCCTTTTGGTGCTTTCTGCTGTCTTTTTAACTTACAGGTAGAAAACTGTAGCCATAGGGGCAATCAGAGGACTGTGCCTGAAACCTTCTATGAATCAGGGCAGAGGTTTCAGGATTTCTAGAAAATCAGGAAGATCTAAATGATCCCAGTACATCCCCATGACTTCCCCATGGCACCTGTGCCATACAAGGGCAATGAAATTGTTGTTATCAAATGGAAGAATATTTTGCACAGCACAATCTTTCTGATACGCCATAGTGGATGTCAACTGTTAAATCATGCTGAACACTGTGAAAAGAATTAAAAGTACAGGGTCTTAGCATTTATCCCTGTCAGCCAAGCAGTTGAAATAAGTACACAACTATCTAGGAAAATTGAAACCAGCGTGCCGCCTCACGGACTTCTACATCCTTCCCAAAACAAAACAAAGCAAACAAAAACTCAGAGCCCTAGAGTTCATTAAGGGTTCTGAAACAGGTGGCATTAAGAAACAAAAAATGGTGCAGTCCACGTATTCCATTAGGTCCTCAAGAATCATTCCAAAAGTTTTCTGTGTCCCATGCCATCTTAATGGGGAGCAACAGGCTGTTTATATTGCAGGGGGACTTAATAGTAGATGGTTTATCCATGTTGCCTACAACCAGAGATTTCCCAGAATTTGCTTTTCCCTTTTTCTGGTCTCTCCCAGAAATCCATCCTGTTTTCTGCCAGGAAACTACTTTTTTTACTTAAGTCTGTCTGGCTTTCACTGTACATGCCCTTTCACCCTATTGGGTTTCATGGATGGCAAAATTTTCATAAACCAAAGCAGAGATTGTCATTGTCATCAGATGTTTTGCTTAGTAGATGTAGAGAGGATTTATGTCCACGTGGGTTATTCCCACCTGGAACTTCTTTCCATCTTGCGGGAGCCAGGCTTCTAAGATGTCAGCAAGTTTAGCCCATATGTCTTTCCAGTAGTTTTAGGTAGTTACATAAATGGGAATATCTATCTTTTATTTTTCCCTATAAGTGACTTTCTTGGTATATTTTAATTTACCATTAAATATACCATTTAATATACCATTTGGTATATTTTTATTTACCATTTTACTTTGAGGATAATACGGTGCATTAGTTTCCTAGAGCTGCTGTAACAAATTACTACAAACTGTGTGGCTTAAAGTAATATAAATATATTTGCTCACAATCCTAAAAGCCAGAAGTTTGAAATCAAGATGTCAGCAGGGCTACACTCCCTCCCAAGGCTCCAGAGAGAATCCATTCTATGCTCTTCTTTTGGTGGCTGCTGGTAATCCTTAGGATTCCTTGGCTTGTAGCTCCTTTTGTCTTCACATTGCTGCTTCCTGTGACGTCTGTGCCTTCTTTTTTCTATTAGAAGAACATTTGTCATTAGATTTAGGGCCTGCCTGGGTAATCCAGGGTAATCATATCTCAAGATTCGAATTTTATTACATCTGCAAAAACCCATTTCCCGAATAGGCTAATATTCACAGATGATAGGGATTTGGTCATATCTTTCTAGGTTCTACCTTTCAACTTACTACATATATGGTAAGATCAAAATGGGATATGTGGCACAGACTGTAACACGTGCTTTCCCAAACTAGTTTCTAGTGTTTTTTAGTTCTGGTTGCCTAGTTACTGTCTGTTTTACCTGGGCCAAGACATTATACAATATTTTCCGCTCTTTTCAGCGAAAGTCCAAGTCTATCTATAGCTCAACTCAGTCCTGAACTATACTGGTGTCCTCCAAGACTGGCTTATACAGAAACATATATAATTAATATTGTCGCTTTTTAAAATATTGTTTAATATTCTTTAGAAAAATAAAGAATACTAATGAGATGCAATCTGGTTTCATTGTTATAGATTTCTCTTCTAGCTATGTTGCCTGATAATCAGCAATATTGGAAGATCAGATTTCTAGCCTCATCTACCTATGTAGGCAATATTATTTATCATCTAATTCAGAAAAGATATTTACTCTTAATCAGATGACAAGGATAGAAAATACATAAAAACTTTTGAGTTCTGACCTCTCCTGCATTGTAACCCTAGATCTTTGGTTATGCCGTTGACTGATAAATATTTATACCTTTCATTTAATTATCTTTTTCCCTATGGAAAGCTTAATGACTTCTAGAAATATTTATTTCCCTTACTGTGGAAAACTTGACGTAATCAGAACAGTATGGTTTATAATTTTAGCCACAATAATAATTATTTATCACAAACAGTTACTTTAATTTCCTTCTCAAAGCAGGTGACTGCCGAGCACAGCCCCATAAAGCTAATTAATTATGGCAATTGTATAATACGGTGCTGGAAAATGGGTGTTTACAGAAATTGCTGGGAGAAATGCTTCTATATGTAGTTTGGCAGGATAAATTTGTACTTTCAATTTGTATTCTTCCATATTCCACCAGATGAATAATTTTCCTTCTGGAGAAAGAAACCAATATAGAATATGACATTCTCCAAAGTCCCGTGGTAGTCCAACCTAAGCCTGTCATACAAATGGATTAATGGTCCATAATATTCTGTGCATTAAAATATTTGTCACAAAAATGAATGTACACTCTCTCCCCCTTCACACTCTGCCCTCATTATAGACCTTCTCAAAGGAAATGATTATCTATTATTATTTTTTTGGAAAAATGTTCTGTTCTTGGAAGTATAATCTCTGCCATTAGAATGATAAAGAAAAATATAACAATACTTTTAGATATAAGTCTCTGAAAAATAGTTCTCATGACAGAATATAATAGAACACACAATAATACAAAAATAGTCCTTATTACCGTGGAACATGTTAGAGTGTATTAGTTTAGAAAAAAAAAGTAAGCCCACTGTTGAAATTACATTGTGTTTTTATTCTTTAGATTTCTGCTTTATTTTTCTCTAAATTCTTTAGATTGAGATAGGCTGCTAAGCCTGTCACACATCATGCCTATTCTGTGAATGCAACTGGGGAGGGCTCAGCTGGAAAATTCTCTGCATCTAGATAGCTCCAGAAAGCACTTTCACTGGCCTGGTTTCTTTGATGGCAAAATATAGAAGGAAGAGCTTTTACCATTTACTTCCTTTGTTTCTTGTGTTCACACAATTTCTAACATTGATTCTGAGAACAGAATTAATCTATTTAATTAAAAGAGAACTAGAATTGGACATAAATTAAGATTTCTTATTCATATGCTAAATTGTAGGTATTTTTGCCTCATGCAGCAGTCCTAGCTTGTGATATTAGCAAAATGATTCTTGTGGCCCCAAATCAAAGTGGAATCCATATTTAGTAACATAAAAAAGAGATAGAAACTATTTTTATATATTTTATAAATAGTTCTGTATCTTTTTATACTTTTTTTGTAAAAACTGGCATTAATATTATTTACATATCATTAAAATGTCTTTAAATCCCTGTAAGGGCCCTAACAGATCTATCTACATTCTTTACTTACATAACACCAATCTAGCCAGCTAAAATATTAAATGCATATTATAAGTTTTATTCAACATTTCAACTACATTTTAAGTTCCTTGACAGCAGGAGTTATGCCTTTTCTCATATATTTTCAGCATATTTCTGAGAAGGGTATGATACCAAAAGTCAGATGCCCAGTGAGCATCAGTTGTAGCAGTCTATCCTTGCAGCAGTACTTGGCATTTCTCCACATTCTTTAAAAACAAAAAACAAAAAACAAAAAACAAAAAAAAAACACCTCTTCAAAATAAAATGCAATCTGAGATTTACTATAGATTGTGCACAAAAAAAAAATTGAGGCACCACCATCAATTCCAGGAGACAATCAGACTTTCCTTAAAGTCTCTGTTCATTCTTTCTAGCAACTAGGGACCACCCACTCCCCTTACCCTACCCGCTGACATTGCTCAGCTTTTTAGCTTCCTCCCTCTTTTCTTTATTGAGCTAGATGTCTTTCTCTTTCTGCTTTAACATGCTTGCAGAGTTCTGCCCCTCAACAGACTTTTCAAAGCCATTTTCTCTACAAAGTCATTTGCTCTACAAAGAAGCTTTCAGACCAATTTCCTGGAAGATTACATTTGCTTGGAAGAGAGTGCTGCAACTATGTAATGGGTACTTTAATCAAAGGAGAAACATGACGTTCCAACAGGGGTTCTAAGAATCAAGGCTTCCTTAAGTTCTGGTTTTATCACTTGTATAATATGTGATAAATTATCCTCTCCAAAAGTTAGTTTCCTGGTTTTTAAAACTGTCTAGCCATATGCAGAAAACTGAAACTGGTTCTCTTCCTTACACCTTATACAAAAATTAACTCAAGATGGATTAAAGACTTAAACGTTAAGACGAAATCCATAAAAACCCTAGAAGAAAACCTTGGCAATACCATTCAGGACATAGGCATGGGCAAAGACCTCATGACTAAAACACCAAACGCAATGGCAACAAAAGCCAAAATTGATAAATGGGATCTAATTAAAGAGCTTCTGCACAGCAAAAGAAACTATCATCAGAGTGAACAGGCAACCTACAGAGTGGGAGAAAATTTTTGCAATCTACCCATCTGACAAAGAGGTAATATCCAGACTCTACTAAGAATTTAAACAAATTACAGGGAAAAAAAACCCATCAAAAAGTGGGCAAAGAATATGAACAGACACTTCTCAAAATAAGACATTTATGCAGCCAACAAACATATGAAAAAAAGCTCATCATCACTGGTCATTAGAGAAATGCAAATCAAAACCACAATGAGATACCATCTCATGCCAGTTAGAATGGCGATCATTAAAAAGTCAGGGAACAACAGATGCTAGAGAGGATGTGGAGAAATAGGAATGCTTTTACACTGTTGGTGGGAGAGTAAATTAGTTCAACCATTGTGGAAGACAGTGTGGGCATTCCTCAAGGATCTAGAACCAGATATACCATTTGACGCAGCAATCCCATTACTGGGTATATACTCAAAGGATTATAAATCATTCTGCTATAAAGACACATGCACACATATGTTTATTGCATCACTATTCAGAATAGCAAAGACTTGGAGCCAACCCAAATGCCCATCAATGATAGACTGGATAAAGAAAATGTGGCACGTATACACCATGGAATAATATGCAACCACAGAAAAGGATGAATTCGTGTCCTTTGCAGGGACATGGATGAAGCTGGAAAGCATCATTCTCAGAAAACTAACATAGGAGCAGAAAACCAAACACCGCATTTTCTCACTCATAAGTGGGAGTTGAACAATGAGAACACATGGACCCAGTGAGGAGAGCATCACACACCAGGGCCTGTCAGGGGGTGGGGAGGATAGGGGAGGGGTAGCATTAGGTGAAATACCTAACGTAGATGATGGGTTGATGGGTGTAGCAAACTACCATGGCATGCGTATATCTGTGTAACAAACCTGCACATTCCACACATGTATCCCAGAACTTAAAGTATAATTTAAAAAGTGCTAGTATTACACATATCATATTATGCTTGTTGGATTATTTAGCAATATTATTTGGGAAGCATTATTTGGGATGCGTTTTATCTTATGGAAAGTAAGACTACAGACTCAGAATGTTTAAAAAGCCCTTGTCCTTTATTTTAGGAAAAAAGGAGATGAATTAATACTAGCCAGTAGCTGGGTGACTACAACATCTTTGTTTCTTAATATAGCAAAATTATGATTTATACATGAGCAAAACCTAAGACCTTCAAGAAACTGTCTGCTAGTGAGCAAGGAAAGAGAAGTTTTTGGACACTAGGAGGGGAGAGGAGACCATGCTCTTCTTAACAACAAAGAGAAAGATATACCTTGCAGACAAAAGTAGGAAACAACAGCTATTTAATGAGATATTGATACCATGCAGTTGAAAAAAAAACTTATGGTGATAGACTTAGGATCTATGAAGGAGTCTCAGAATTTGTCCAACAGGGTAGAACACTGAAGATACATAATGGGGTCGCGGTATTTGTTCTGCATCATAAAATGTGAAGTTGCGCTTGTTTTTGAGATTTTAGCTCTCCAACAAGACATAAAGTTCTGTTTATTGCAGAGACTGATTTCTTCCTCATTGGCACAGTGTAGTAAATAGAATAAATGTGCATTCTGTATTGAATTTTAATCTGCATAAAAATTATTGGTTTGCCTAAGTATTTAATAGGTTTGACACCTTGTTTTCATGTTATAAAAACCTTTTAGACTATGTTTCAATAGATATCTTTATTAATAAAAGAAAATATAAAGAAGGTTCATTTCAATTCTAGGAATACATCGTCACACCTGTCAAATAAAAATGGGAAAACAAGAAGCTTTTTATTAAAATGAAATTACTGACATCAGATAGACATCTCTGCACATGTTATTCTCATTCTTACACCGCCTGTTGAGAAAAAAGAAACTCAAGAGAGTCCCTCATGGCTTCAGAGAATGGAATTGAGATCAGAGTAATGAGATACTGGTTAAAGGAAACTGTGTTAAACAAGCATTTAATTAGCTTTGGATGATGTCAGCTTTCTGACTGTGGTGAATTCGAATGTGTTTTTTGTTTCATTTTCTTGTTTTGTTTTGGTTTGTTTCTCTTAGACCGATTTTCTTCCAGCAAAAAGGAAACAATATCATTGATAATGCCATCCACATTTGACTCTATAAGCTTCCGGGTCGCTGTGTGATGATATGTGTGGCTATCTAAGGTTAAACACATGAGGAGCTCTTTTTCTCATGATATTTCAAAAATTCCCAATCTGAAGAGTCATCATCCAATTAGTAATGGGAAAGGCAAAAAGTTTCAATAGCTGGCATTTGAAATCAGACCTAGCTAAAAATGTAACTTTATATTTTCCTTTACCTCCTGATCAAAACTGCAATTTTAGCTTCTATTGATTGAACATCAATCTATGCCTATGTCACGTTTAAGTGCATGTGTGTCTGTGTATAAGGAGACAGCATTATACATTACATACATAGAGAACATTTGTTATATGTGGGTATTTTATTAATCATTCTATTAAATCAATGATGTATGTATATATATTTAATATCTATGTATCATTTTACAGTTACTGAAATTGAATCTCAAAGATGTTAAATATTTTCAACCTTACATATTAAGGAAACAACATAAATAGTTCTGACTTATTTCAACTATTTCTCAACATAACGCTGTTGAAAAAGGAAGTAGACCCCCCCAAAAATTTGCCACATATTTGGTGGTTAACTTTTTTTTAAATTAATTGTTTTTAAAGATGGGACTCGCTATGTTGCTCAGGCTTGGCCCAAATTTCTGGGCACAAGTTATACTCCTGCCTCAGCCTCCTCTGTAGTTGTGGCTACAGGTGTGCACCACTGCACCAAACTAGTTAACATTTTAAATATCACTATTAAATAAATCTTACGTCAGTCCCACTTATCTTGATAAATCAGGCTCATGTAATCACATCCATGAACTCTGCACCTTACTTCTTATAGCCCCTTTGACAAGCTGGCTACCAGTTATTACTTGCTGCTATTGTCAATGTTTGCCCTCTTTGCTCTAATTTTGTCTCCAGGACTGGAAACTAAATGGCTATGGTAGAACTGAGAATCAAGTAGTAATGTACAGGGTCTGAGCATGCCTCAATATAAACATTGGCAGAAGCAGTACCAGTCACACTTAAAGTAAAGCCCTTCTAAAGCTATCCACATTGGATTTATATGTACAAAATATTTACCTCATTAGAAATTTATAACTGCAGGATACTCCAAGCCTTTACTCCTCTTCTCATGATATTTTGATCACATAATTAAAAAGAAACTCAATCTTCTCACATTGGTTGGTTTACATTTAGGCTTCCTTTTTTATCTGACACTTCTTATCCACTATGTAATTCATTTTTTTCACTGGGTTCTGCTCTGATCTCACCCATTAATCTCAACAAAGTATCACTTCTATAAGGCTTGGTAAATCCCTTCATCACAATCCGGCCTTACTATTTTTTTCTCTAGTCTCGCTAATCAACTCTTTACCCAGTTGAGCTGTAAGTGACTAATAACTCTAACTGAAAGTCTGGTAACTCCTAAGAGTAAAAAGCAGAAGAAGCTCTCCTAACCTCAAAGTCATTGATTTAGAGGTTTATTTACTAGCATATCTGTATTTATTGAGAGTGGCTGGGTTTATTATAACCGCAGAAGAAAGGGATGCCCTGTTTCTTTTTCCATCAACCTCTAATCTTAGGAAAATACCTTCTTCACAAAGCCCAGTTGCCAACATGCCAATATATATAATATCTCTGAATTTCAAAAGACAATGGTGATATTTTCCCATCTCAAATAATTCATATTGTCTATGACATGCCTTTTTCATTTATTTAATCATATTCTGAATAAAATTTAATCCTATTCTGAATTTTATGTAGATATTTATAGTTTAAATTTTCTACCCAATAGATTTTTTTTTTTTTTTTTTCTTTAACACTGTTTTTTAGAGGAGTTTTAGGTTCACAACTACATTGATAGGAAGGTATGACTATTTTTCTACATAATCCCTGAACCCACACAAGCATAGTTCACTCCATTATCAGCATTCTTTACCAAAATGGTACATTAGTTACAATTGAAAAACCTAAATTTTCATATCATTATAATCCAAAGTCCATGTAATATGAAGTTTTTTTCATCTGCTCATTTTTCATCTATATATCTTCTTCAGTGAGATTCTCATTAATATGTTTAGCCTACTTTTAATTGGTTATTTTCTTGTTTTAAGAGTTCTTTGTATATTTTGGATAACAGTTCCTTAACAAATATATATTTTGTAAATATTTTCTCTTATTCTGTGGCTCATGTTTTCATTCCCTCTGCAGTCTTTTTGCAGAGTAGAAATTTTTAATTTTAATAAAGTCAAGCTTATCAATTTTTTATTATACTTTAAGTTCTAGGATACATGCGCAGAACATCTAGGTTTGTTACATAGGTATATATGTGCTATGGTGGTTTGCTGCATCCATCAACTTGTCATCTACATTAGGTATTTCTCCTAATGCTATCCCTCCCCTAGCCTCCCCACCCCCTGACAGGCCCCAGTGTGTGATGTTCCCCTCCCTGTGTCCATGTGTTCTCCTTGTTCAACTCCCACCTATGAGTGAGAACATGCAGTGTTTGGTTTTCTGTTGCTGTATTAGTTTGCTGAGAATGATGGTTTCCAGCTTCATCCATGTCATGAACTCATGAATTCATCCTTTTCTATGGCTGCGTAGTATTGCATAGTGTATATGTGCCACATTTTCTTTATCCATTCTATCACTGATGGGCTTATATGTTGGTTCCAAGTCTTTGCTATTCTGAAAAGTGCTGCAATAAACATATGTGTGCATGTGTCTTTATAGTAGAGTGATTTATAATCCTTTGGGTATATCCCCAGTAATGGGACTGCTGAATCTAATGGTATTGCTGGTTCTAGATCCTTGAGGAATAGCCACACTGTCTTCCACGATGGTTGAATTAATTTACACACCCACCAACAGTGTAAAAGTGTTCCTATTTCTCCACATCCTCTCTAGCATCTATTGTTTCCTGACTTTTTAATGATTGCCATTCTAACCGGTATGAGATTGTATTTCATTGTGGTTTTGATTTGCATTTCTCTAATGACCAGTGATGATGAGCTTTTTTCATAAATGTCTTCTTTTGAGAAGTGTCTGTTTATATCCTTTGCCCACTTTTTGAATGGGTTTTTCTTGTAAATTTGTTTAAGTTCTTGTAGATTCTTGATATTAGCCCTTTGTCAGATGGATAGACTGCAAAAATTTTCTCCCATTCTGTAGGTTGCCTGTTCACTCTGATGGTAGTTTCTTTTGCTGTGCAGAAGCTCTTTAGTTTAATTAGATCCCATTTGTCAAATTTGGCTTTTGTTGCCATCGCTTTTGGTGTTTTAGTCATGAAGTCTTTGCCATGCCTCTGTCCTGAATGGTACTGCCTAGGTTTTCTTCTAGGGTTTTTATGGTTTTAGGTCTTACACTTAAGTCTTTAATCCATCTTGAGTTAATTTTTGCTTAAGGTTTAAGGGAGGGGTCCAGTTTCAGTTTTCTGCATGTGGCTAGCTAGTTTTCCTAACACCATTTATTAAATAGGGGATCCTTTCCCCATTGCTTATTTTTGTCAGGTTTGTCAAAGATCAGATGGTTGTAGATGTGTGGCATTATTTCTGAGGCCTCTGTTCTGTTCCATTGGTCTACATATGTGTTTTGGTACCAGTACCATGCTGTTTTGGTTACTGTAGACTTGTAGTATAGTTTGAAGTCAGGTAGCGGGATGCCTCCAGCTTTGTTTTTTTTTTTTTTTGCTTAGGATTGTCTTGGCTATATGGTCTCTTTTTTGGTTCCATTTGAAATTTACAGTAGTTTTTTCTAATTCTGTGAAGAAAGTCAATGGTAGCTTGATGGGGATAGCATTAAGTCTATAAATTACTTTGGGCAGTATGGCCATTTTGACGATATTGGTTCTTCCTATCCATGGGCATGGAATGTTTTTCCGTTTGTTTCTATCTTATTTCTTTGAGCAGTGGTTTGTAGTTCTCCTTGAAAAAGTCCTTCACACCCCTTCTAAGTTGTATTCCTGGGTATTTTATTCTCTTTGTAGCAATTGTGAATGGGACTTCACTCATGATTTGGCTCTCTGTTTGTCTATTATTGGTGTATAGGAATGCTTGTGATTTTTACACATTGCTTTTGTATCCTGAGACTTTGCTGAAGTTGCTTACCAGCTTAAGTAGATTTTGGGCTGAGACGATGTGGTTTTCTAACTGTACAATCATGTCATCTGCAAACAGAGACAATTTGACTTCCTCTTTTCCTATTTGAATACCTTTTATTTCTTTCTCTTGCCTGATTGCCCTGGCCAGAACTTCCAATGTTGTGTTGAATAGGAGTGGTGAGAGAGGGAATCCTTGTCTTGTGCCGGTTTTCAAAGGGAATGCTTCCAGCTTTTGCCCATTCAGTGTGATATTGGCTGTGGGTTTGTCATAAATAGCTCTTATTATTTTGAGATAATGTTCCATCAATGCCTAGTTTATTAAGAGTTTTTAGCATGAAGACATGTTGAATTTTGTTGAAGGCCTTTTCTGCGCCTATTGAGATAATCATGTGTTTTTTTGTCATTGGTTCTGTTTATGCGATGGATTATATTTATTGATTTGAGTATGTTGAGCCAACCTTGCATGCCAGGGACAGAGTCAACTTGATTGTGGTGGATAAGCTTTTTGATGTGCTGCTGGGTTCAGTTTGTCAGTGTTTTATTAAGGATTTTCACATCGATGTTCACCAGGGATATTGGCCTGAAATTTTCTTTCTTTGTTGCTTCTCTGCCAGGTTTCGGTATCAGGATGATGCTGACCTCATAAAGTGTGTTAGGAAGGAGTCCCTCTTTTTCTATTGTTTGGAATAGTTTCAGAAGGAATGGTACCAGCTCCTCTTTGTACATCTGGTAGAATTCGGCTGTGAATCTGTCTGGTCCTGGGGTTTTTTTGGTTGGTAGGCTATTAATTACTGCCTCAATTTCAGAACTTATTATTGGTCTATTCAGGGATTCTACTTCTTCCTGGTTTAGTCTTGGGAGGGTGTATATGTCCAGAAATTTATCTATTTCTTCTAGATTTTCTAGTTTACTTGCATAGAGGTGTTTACAGTATTCTCTGATGGTAGTTTGTATTTCTGTGGGATTAGTGGTGATATCCACTTTATCATTTTTTGCGTGTCTATTTGATTCTTGTCTCTTTTATTCTTTATTAGTCTGGCCAGCAGTCTATTTTGTTGATCTTTTCAAAAAACCAGCTCCTGGATTATTAATTTTTTGAAGGCTTTTTTGTGTCTCTAACCCCTTCAGTTCTGCTGTGATCTTAGTTATTTCTTGTCTTTTGCTAGCTTTTGAATTGTTTTGCTCTTGCTTCTCTAGTTCTTTTAATTGTGATGTTAGAGAATCAATTTTAGATATTTTCTGCTTTCTCCTGTGGGTATTTAGTGCTATAAATTTCTCTCTACACATTGCTTTGGCTGTGTCTCAGAGATTGTGGTATGTTGTGTCTTTGTTCTTGTTTTCAAATAACTTACCTATTTCTGCCTTCATTTCATTATTTACCCAGTAGTCGTTCAGGAGCATGTTGTTCAGTTTCCATGTATTTGGGTGATTTAGAGTGAGTTTCTTAATCCTGAGTTCTAATTTGATTGCACTGTGTTCTGAGAGACTGCTTGTTATGATTTCCATTCTTTTGCATTTGCTGAGGAGTGTTTTACTTCCAATTATGTGGTCAATTTTAGAATAAGTGTTATGTGGTGCTGAGAAGAATGTATATTCTGTTGATTTGGGGTGGAGAGTTCTGTAGATGTCTGTTAGGTCTGTTTGGTCCAGAGCTGAGTTCAAGTCTTGAATATCCTTGTTAACCTTCTGTCTCATTTATCGGTCTAATATTGACAGTGGGGTGTTAAAGTCTCCCATTATTATTGTGTGTGAGTCTATTCTCTTTATAGGTCTCTAAGAACTTGCTTTATGAATCTGGGTGCTCCTGTATAGGGTGCATATATATTTAGGATAGTTAGCTCTTCTTGTTGTATTGATCCCTTTACCATTATGTAATGCCCTTGTCTTTTTTGATCTTTGTTGGTTTAAAGTCTGTTTTATCAGAGACTAGGATTACAACCCCTGCTTCTTTTTGTTTTCCATTTGCTTGGTAAATATTCTTCTATCCCTTTATTTTGAGCCTATATTTGTCTTTGCACGTGAGATGGGTCTCCTGAATACAGCACACCGATGGGCCTTGACTCTTTATCCAATTTGCCAGTCTGTGTCTTTTAATTGGGGCATTTAGCACATTTACATTTAAGGTTAATATTGTTGTGTGTGAATTTCATCCTGTCATTATGATGCTAGCTGGTTATTTTGCCTGTTAGTTGATGCAGCTTCTTCATAGTGTTGATGGTCTTTACAATTTGGTATGTTTTTGCAGTGGCTGGTACCGTTTTTTTCTTTCCATATTTAGTGTTTCTTTCGGGAGCTCTTGTATGGCAGGCCTGGTGGTTACAAAATCTCTCAGCATTTGCTTGTCTGTAAAGGATTTTATTTCTCCTTGACTTATGAAACTTAATTTGGCTGGATATGAAATTCTGGGTTGAAAATTCTTTTCTTTAAGAAGGTTGAATATTGGCCTTCACTCTCTCCTGGCTTGTAGGGTTTCTGCAGAGAGAGATGCTGTTAGTCTGATGGGCTTCCCTTTATGTGTAACCCGACCTTTCTCTCTGGCTGCCCTTAACATTTTTTCTTTCATTTCAACCTTGGTGAATCTAATGATTATGTGTCTTGGGGTTGCCCTTCTCAACGAGTATCTTTGTGATGTTCTCTGTATTTCCTGAATTTGAATGTTGGCCTATCTTGCTACATTGAGGATGTTCTCCTGGATAATATCCTGAAGAGTGTTTTCCAACTTGGTTCCATTCTCTCTGTCACTTTCAGGTACACCAATCAAATGTAGGTTTGGTCTTTTCACATAGTCCCATATTTCTTAGAGGCTTTTTTTTTAATTTGTTTTCATTCTTTTTTCTCTAATATTGTCTTCATGCTTTATTTTATTAAGTCGATCTTCAATCTCTGATATCCTTTCTTCTGCTTGATCGACTTGGCTATTGATACTTGTTTATGCTTCATGAAGTTCTTGTGCTGTATTTTTCAGCTCCATCAAGTCATTTATATTCTTCTGTAAAGTGGTTATTCTAATTAGCAATTCCTCTAACGTTTTTTCAAGGTTCTTAGCTTCCTTGCATTGGGTTAGAACATGCTCCTTTAACTTGGATGAGTTTGTTATTACCCACCTTCTGAAGCCTACAGGTCAATTTGTCAAACTCATTTCCTGTCCAGTTTTGTTCCCTTGCTGGTGAGGAGTTGTGATCCCTTGGAGGAGAAGAGGCATTCTGGTTTTTGGAATTTTCAGCCTTTTTGCACAGGTTCTCCTTGTCTTCATAGATTTATCTACCATAGATCTTTAATGTTGGTGACCTTTCGGTGGGGTTTCTGTGTGGATGTCCTTTTTGTTGATGTTGACACTATTCCTTTCTATTTGTTAGTTTTCCTTCTAACAGTAAGGCCCCTCTGCTGCAGGTCTGCTGGATTTTGCTGGAGGTCTACTCCAGACTCTGTTGCCTGGGTATCATGAGCAGAATCTGCAGAACAGCCAAGATTGCACAGTCCCCCAGGGCTTCTCTTGGCTAGGGGAGGGAGTTCCCCAACCCCTTGAGCTTCCCGGCTGAGGCAATGCCCCACCCTGCTTCGACTTGCCCTCTGTGGGCTCCACTCACTAACCAGTCCCAGTGAGATGAGCCAGGTACCTCAGTTGGAAATGCAGAAATCACCCACCTTCTGCATTGATCTTGCTGGGAGCTGCAGACTGGAGCTGTTCCTATTCTGCCATCTTGCCAGCTCCTACCCTATCAATTCTTTCAGGGATTGTGCCTTTGATTTCATGTTTAAAATGTAATCATCAAACACAAGATTACCTACATTTTCTCTTGTGTTATCTTCTAGTAGTTTTATGGTTTTGCATTTTACATTTAGGCCTGTGATCATTTTGAGTTACTTTTTATGCACAGCTTATAGTCTCTGTCTAGATTTATTTTCTGGTATGTGTATATACAGTTGTTCCAGTATTATTTGTTGAAAGTACTACCTTTGTTCCATGGTCTTGGCTCTGCTGATTTATAAAAGATCAGTTGATTATTAGACCTTTGTCAGATGGGTAGATTGCAAAATTTATCTCCCGCTCTGTGGGTTGCCTGTTTCCTCTGATGATAGTTCTTTTGCAGTCCAGAAGCTCTTTAATTTAATTAGATCCCATTGATCAAATTTTGCTTTTATTGCAATTGATTTTGGTGATTTCATTATAAAATCTGTGCCCATTCCTAAGTGCTGAATGGTATTGTCTAGATTTTCTTCTAGGGATTTATTTTATAGTTTTGCATTTTACATTTAAGTCTTTAATCTATCTTGAGTTAATTTTAAGGAACTTAAACAAATTTACAAGAAAAAAGAAAGCAACTTCATTAAAAAGTGGGCAAAGGACATGAACAGACACTTCTCAAAAGAAGACATTCATAAGGCCAACAAACTTGAAAAACAGCTCAACATCACTGATCATTAGAGAAATGCAAATTAAAACCACAATAAGACACCACCTCATAGCAGTCATAATGGTGATTATTAAAAATTCAAGAAACAACAGATTCTGGTGAGGTTGCAGAGAAGTAGAAATACTTTTACAGTGTTGGTGGGAATGTAAATTAGTTCAGCCATTCTGGAAGACAGTGTGGTGATTCTTCAAAGATCTAGGACGAGAGATACCATTTGACCCAGCAATTCCATTTCACTGCAGCACTATTCACAACAGCAAAGACATAGAATCAATCCAAATGCCCATCACTGATAGACTGGATAAAGAAAACGTGGTACATATAAACATGGAAGACTACGCACCCATAAAAAGGAAGGAGATTATGTCCCTTGTAAGAACATGGATGGAGCTAGAACACATTATCCTCAGCAAACTAATGTAGAAACAGAATACCAAACACTGCATGTTCTCACTTATAAGTAAGAGCTGAACAGTAAGAACACATGGACGTATGGAGGGGAACAACACACACTGGGGCTTGTCAGTGGTGGGAGGGAGAGCATTAGGAAAAATAGCTAATGCATGCTGGGCTTAATACTGAGGTGATGGGTTGAAAGGTGCAGCAAATCACCATGGCACACGTTTACCTATGTAACAAGACTGCATATCCTGCACATGTACCCTGGAGCTTAAAATTCTTAAATAAAAATAAAAAGATCAGTGGGTTATATTTATATGGTTCTATTTCTTGGCTCTTTATTCTGTTCCATTAATCTGTTTAGCTAATCTTTCACCAGTATCACAATCTCTCAATTACTGCAGTTTCATAGTAAATCTTACAGTCAAGATTTTCATTCCTTCAATTCTATACATTTTCAATATGGATTGACTATACTGGGTTTTTTGCCTCTACATATAAATTTTGGAATCAGTTTGATATGCACAAAATAACTTGCTAGGATTTTAATTAAAATTGAATTGAATTTATTGCCCAATTTTGGAAAAGCTGACCTTGACAACATTGAATCTTCCTATCCATGAACATGAAATATCTCTTCATTTATTTAGTTATTCTTTGATTTCTTTGATCAGAATTTTATAGTTTTCCTCATATAGATTTTAAACATATTTTATTATATTTATGATTAAGTATTTCATTTTTTAATGTTAATATAAATAGTATTGTTTTCAGTTTTAAATGCCACTTCGTCATTGATGGTGTATAGGAAAGAAGTTGATTTTCATATTTTAACCTTTCTATAAAGCGTATTAGTTCCAGGAGATTTTTGCTGATTCTTTCAGATTTTTGACATTGTTTAGACCCATCTGCAATCAAAGTTTTATTTCTTTCTTCCCAATCAATGCGCTTTATTTTTTTTTCTCTTATCGTACTAGCCAGGACTGCTAGTACAATATTGAAAAGGAGTAATGAGAGGACTCATACTTGTCTTGTGTCTCATTTTAGTGGAAATGCTTCTAGTTTCTCTCCATTTAGTGTGGTGTGAGCTGTGGGTTTTCTGTAGGTATACCTTATCAAGTGGAGGAAGTCCCCCTCCTTCATAGTTCACGGAGAGTTTTTTTTGTTTGTTTGTTTGTTTGTTTTAACACAGTTGTTGGAGTTCATCAAAGGCTTTTTCTGCATCTATTGATGTGATTATGTTATTTTTCTTTTTTAGTCTATTCTGACGATGGATTCTGCTAATTGATTTTTGAATGCTGAATAAGTCTTGCATTACGTGGGATGCCCCTCTTGGTCGTGGTATGTAATACTTTTTATACGTTATTGGATTAAACTTGCTAAGATTTTGCTGAGGATTTTTGCATCTGTGTTCATGAGAGTTATTGGTTTGTGGTTTTACTTTTTTGTAAGGCTTTTGTCTGATTTTGGTATTAGCATGATGCTGGCCTCATAGAATGAGTTATAAAATATTACCTCTGCCTCTATATTCTAATATAAATTTTAGAGAACTTGGTATAATCTCTTCCTTAAATCTTTGGTAGAATTTACTAGTGAACAAAACTGGGCTTAGTGCTTTCTGTTTGCAAGGTAATTAATTTTTTATTCAATTTTTAATAGATATAAGACAATCCAAATTGTCTATTTCTTCTTGTGTGAATTTTGGCATATTCCCCTCCCCCCCGCCCCCCCACCACACACAAGGAACTGACCCGTTTCATCTAGGTTATCAAATACGTGGGCCTATGGGCATGGTGGCTCACCCCTGTAATCCCAGCACTTTGGGAGGCCGAGGCGGGTGGACTACTTGAAGTCAGGAGTTCAAGATCAGCCTGGCCAGCATGGTGAAACCCCATCTCTACTAAAAATACAAAATAATTAGCTGAGTGTGGTGGCACATGCCTGTAATCCCAGCTACTCAGGAGACTGAGGTGGGAAAATCGCTTGAACCCGGGAGGCAGAGGCTGCAGTGAGCCGAGATCACACCACTGCACTCTAGCCTAGGCAACAGATTGAGCCTCCGTCTCAAAAAACAAACAAAGAAACAAACAAAACCTAAAGTTGTCCATACTGTTCTTTTTTATCCTTTCGATGTCCATGAGATATGTAATGATGTTCTATCTTTCATTTCTGACAATAGTAACTTTTGTTTTTTCTCCATTTTACTTAGCCTGGCCAAAAGCTTATCATTTTTTTCAGTCTTCTAAAAGAACAAGCTTGTGATTTTGTGGGTTTTTTCTTCTATGGATTTCCTATTTTCAATTTTATTGGTTACTGTTCTAATTCTTATTGCTTCTCTCTGTTACACATGGATTCAATCCACTTTACTTTTCCTAGTTTCCTAATGTGGAAGCTTAAATGATTGATTTTAGATATTTCTTCTTTTCTAATATATGAATTCAATGCTATAAATTTCCTCTAAGCACTGCTTTTGCTGAATCCTAACATTTTATTGATTTACAATAGTTGCACATATTTTGCTATGTGTGGGGGTATGTGTGATCTTTTGATAAATGTATACAGTGTGTACGAATCCTAATATTTTTATTGATTTACAATAGTTGCACGTATTTTGGGGGTATGTGTGATATTTTTATACATGTATACAATGTGTAATAATCAAATCAGGATAATTTTGATAAATTGTGTTTCCATTTTTATTTAGTCAAAAGCGTTTTTTAATTTTTGTTGAGATTTCTTCAACTCATATTTTATTTACAAGTGTATTGTTTAATTTCTATGTGTGTTGAAATTTTTCAGTTATCTTACTATTATTGATTCCTAGTTGAACTCCATGTGGTCTGAAAGAAGACATTTTATGATTTCTATTCTTTTAAATGTGTTCAAGTATGTTTTATGGCCCAGAATGTGGCCTATCTTGATAAATGTTCCTTCCATGTTAGCTTGAGAAGAGTTTATATTCTGCTGCTATTGGATGAAATTGTCTATAGGTGTCAATTTATATTCAGTTAATTGATGGTTTCACTGAGTTCACCTGTGTGCTTACTGATGTTCTGTCTGCTGGATCTATTTCTGATATAGGGTTGTTGATGTCTCCAACTATAATATTGGATTTATCCAATTCTCACAGTTTTAATAGTTTTTGCTTCGCATATTCTGACGCTTTATTTAAACACACATTAAGGATGGCCATTTCTTCTTGGAGAATTCACCCCTTTATCATCATGTCATATGACTTTTTACCTATTTTAACTTTTATATTTGCTTGGAATTCTGCTTGGTCTGAAATTAATATACATATGCTGATTTTCCAAAATTAGTGTTAGCATGATATATCTTTCCTCATCCATTTGTTTTTAATCTCTATGCATCTTTATATTTTAAGTGGATTTTTTATAGACAATATATAGTTTGGTCTTATTTTTTATCTATTCTGACAATTTTTGTCTTTTCATTGGAACATCTAGACCATTGACATTCAAAGTGATTACTCATATAGCTGAATTATTTGTTACTGTTTTATTTTTTGCCTTTGTTCTTTGTTTCTATTTTGTCTTCGTTTTTTTTTAACGTTTGTGATTTTAATTAAGTAGTTTGTATAATTGTATTTTCTCTCATTTCTTAGCATACAAAGTATCCTTTTTTATACATTTTTTGGTAGATTGCTACAGTTTGCAATATAGATTCACTACTAATCCAAGCCCCCTTTTACATAACACTATACTGACCAATAGATAGTGTGTACTTTCAAATAACAAAATAATCCTAGTTCCTCCCTCCCATGACTTGTATCATTGTTGTCCTCCATTTTACTTACATATAAGCATATGTAAGCAAACCTATATACTTCATATATATATACACACACATATACATATATACACACACACACATATACACACAAACACATATATATACACACACACACATAAGAATATTTAATTGAATATATTGTTTTATTTAGCTCTCAGGCTTTCCCACATTAAGCCTCCAGCTATACATCATTTACGTTTGGATTTTTTTCTTACCCTGACACTAATTTGCCCCCTACTTCCCAAAGAAGATATAGCTGTTAGTTTTTTCTTCAGTGAGTTATGACTTAATAAATTTTGATTTAAGTATTCTACCTACATTCACCAAGACTTAGTTTTCTTATTTGTAATGTTTGGACAATAACAGACTGGGTTTTTTTGTGGGGGTAAATTAAAAATATATGTGGAAAGCTTAAGCTTCATAATGGCTACAGTAAAGCCATATCTCATCTTGGGGTAAATTATAAATTCAGCACTGAGTCAGTAAAACAGCCTTCTTTGATACTTTTATGTTTCTCTGTACTTTTAAAATTAATATTTATTTCTTATTCATTTCTGTATTTCTTCTTGATACCAATGACAGAATTACCACCAGGTCATCTAGCCAGGGTTTCAGTTATTAATCAATGAATGGTAAATCTTAGAATCTCCTATATATTTCTTCCTTACGTTTTACCAGGATGAAAGGTTACTTCATGTTTCATTACTTCATTTACTTCTTAATTTCAATTCATTTTCTAGCATGAATAAACAGGCATTTATACATACACACATACACACACTCTCCTTGATAATAGAGCAAACAGAAATATATGTATATGTACATATGTGTCAAAAATATGGATAAAAATGTGTATGACAGTGCTTTTTATAACAGGCCAAAATTGGAAACAAATGAAATGGTCATAAACAATATAATTATGTACATATATTGTGGAATATTCAATTACTAAGATATTTTACAGCCATGATAATAAACTACTCCCACATATAACGTAGAACAATATGGATGCCTCTCATACACAATAAAAAAGATAAAATAATACATAATGTGCAATTTCATACCTGTTATCTGCAAATAAACACATAAAATACAACATAAATATATTCCCACATATACATTTTGCCCATAAAGGAAATATGAATCCTATGTCAGGATAGGAGTTTTTTGAGGGGGAGAAAGAAGTAAAGATTGAGGATGGTCACGGGAAGTTTCTGGGATGGTGATAATTTCCTACTCATTTACAAGTGTATATTGTGGATGGCATGTAGATACGAATGCTTATGATTTGTACGCTACTCTATATGCTATACATCAGTAAAAATGAGAAGTTATTTTTTGTCTTCTTTAAAGTATAGAAATATGGATTCCTATAAGTTAAATGAACTAATAAGGTATATTTAATAAATGATAGCTTACCTGTTGTTAGAAACACAGCAGGTTCTTAATAGAAGTTAGCTTTTCTTTATTGATAATACTGAATCTACTGTACCTGGTGCTGGGGTGTAATGATGAACCCATTTTACTAGGTAATTGACAGCATGCACCCACACATAAGAGACTCCAGGCTGCTAAAGAAATTTTACAGCATAAACCTAAGGAAGTTAGTTTCTTTAAAATAAAAATATAATTTTAGCTACAACTATTAGGTAAATAATAAATTGATATTAGAATGCATGTATTAATAAAAACATGCTTAGTGTTAAATTAACTATTAGCAGTAGTTTACAACTTTCATTATAATTCCTTGCATTCATCAATTTATATACATTTTTGTTCACACTTCTGGGTTTAATTGAAAGATCCTTTTTATGTGTTTCTTCCTTTTGCAATTATGTTTTGAGCTTTTATTTGCCACATTCTGTGGTAGATTCAAAGACACAAAAGTAAAAGTTACTGGCCCTATCTTTAAAAACCTTTCATTTGGAATATTACAGACAAATTAGGCAATGATTATAACACATTGCAATTTGTTCTGATAGTTATTCTCACGATGCTACGGAAGTAAGAAACAGTGGTTTATGACTCCAAAGGGAGTGGATCAGAACAAGGCAGAGGCTTTCTGACTAGAAGGTGACAAATTGTAGTTGGACAGTGAATGAAGAAGAGCATGCTCAAAGGCACTTTCATCATTCAGTTTATTCTATTAAATATTAATTATTATTTATTTAGTGGCCATCCTTCAGTAAAAGACTTGAAGGGATGGAGTTGGACTCATCTTTAGTCACCAATAGCTGTCATTTTTTGAGAGACAAAATACGACAGGTCCTTAAATAATGGGACAATCAAATTTAATGTAGCCATTAAAATAGAGTACTCCTAACAAACAAGGTCTCCACAAAGCCAGCAAATCATTGCTAAAATGGCTTCGAGACAATAACACTATCTAGATATGAGAACAGCTTAACTCCAGCAGAAAAAGACTTGACCTTGTGTTGATCCCAGCGGCCTTTACATTTTTATTGTTAACAGAACCCATGTTCTATTTGGTGGGGTCTTTAAATAATTTACTAAGAGATCAGGTAACTCAGCCATAAATGAAAGATCAAAAGAGACACGACACTTAAAATATGGAACAGGAGGGCATGAGTAGAGAGAGTTATTATTGTTCTGGAGAACATATTTTCATTTGTTTATGTATTTTTATGACTGTGGGAAATTTTCATGTCCTCAATTACTGTTCTAATCTGCAAAATTAATATTTTTATCTTTGTGACTTCACTGCCATTACCCAAGAAGCCATGGCTTTTACAAATCCTGTGTAGTCACTGAAACTATTCTACATGCATTTGGCTTTAATAATGTCCAAGATAAATTAAAAGCAAAATAAATTTATATTTGCATGTTTTCAGGAAGAATCCTCAATTATATATTATTTATGGAGAAAAAAATCTTTTGTTAAGTTTTAAAATTTCTAAAAGTAATTGCTTATTCTAAATAAAAGAACCAGTGTAAAACTGACCCCAATGGGAATAGTCAGATATTAGAAAGTGTCTATCCAAAGTGCAGATGGTAACCAGGAGTTAAACAGAAATTAAGAGGCAGGTAGATCAAGGAAAATATATGGCAGTGCAAAATAGACTATGAAACGATGTTTGCTTCATTTATTCCACTCACTTAAACCGTATTTGTTGTCTACTTTGTATAAGACAATGTTCTAGGTGCTCGAAACACAATGATAATAATTCCGTAAGGATCTCTCCCCTTGAGGAACTCATATTCCAGTGGGAGTAGACAATTCCCAATAATACCTAGCTTTCGATCTAAATGCAGCTATAAATGATAGAGTGACAAAAATAGCTTTATTGCTAATGCACTTTGTTCTTCCATCTATTATTCATCAGCAAACAATAGTTGGACACCTATTTGAAAAGGTCTCCTGCCAAATGCTAAAAAGATACAATGAGACATGGTTTGTCTACAAACTGCTGAATATCCTGGAGGTCAGAGATAGCTACATGTTCAAAGTATTAGGCTTCTCTAGAACTGCTACCCTCTTGGACAGCTGGTTTTTGAGGACATGCTCTTCATAGTGAAATAAAGCCAAAGTTTTTTCTTTTCTATTGATTAGAAAACATGAATGTGTAATACAACTCTTCCATTATTGGGCAGGTTTAATTATATAATGTCATATATATGAAAATATTTGTATAGAGCCAAATACAGGAATTAGAATTACTGGGTTAAAAGGCACTTTGAATTTGCACATCTAAGAGAGTTAGTCAAATTTTCCTTTTTGATAATTTTATAAATTTATATTCCCAATGGCAAATATTGCCACACAACCTTAATAACATGGTGTTACTGGACTTACATATTTTGGTCATGTGGATTGATAAAAAATAAATATCATTATATTACTTTTATTTTCTTAGTAAATTGAGACTGAGCATGCTGTAATATTTAAGAGGTATTTACATTTCCATTTATTTGAATTACCTGTTCATACCCTGTGTTCATTTTTCTATTGATTTGTTAATATTTTTCTTAGTTATTTCTGGCAGTTCTTAATCCCTCACAATATACATTGCAAATGTTTTTCTCAGCTTTTCATTTGTTCTTGGGCTTAGGTTGTGGTATTTCTTCATATATGGGATATTTTTAATGTTGTTGACTTTATTCTTTAAAAAATACCTTTCATAGCCTCTATATTTTGAATCATAGAAAGGCCTCAGCACCTGGGAGGATACAAAGTAATTCTTCTCTGTTTTTCTCGTGTATTTTTATGATTTTTATTTTTTTAATGTTCAAATATGTGATGCATTTGGAATCATTGTGATATTATGTACAAAGAAGAATGGCTCCACCTTCAAATTTTTCAAAATAACTCCCAGTGTTCCTAAAACCATTGACCTAATGATTCAGTTAATTATCCACAGGACTTGAGACAGCCCTATAAAATATATTCAATCTTTATATACATTTGGGCTTATTTTTGGACTTCTTATTCTGCTCATGAGTCTGTCTAGAAAAAGACAATATTATTTCATGTCAATAACATTTATGTCCATCCTGCATAGTTATTGGGAAATATGTTCTAATATCTATTATGGCTGGGTATTGCTGTTCTTTGTTTAAAATTTCTTGGGTATTTGCATCTCTTTGTATGATTTTTTAAGTAAACTAACAAAGTATTTTATCCAGCCCTTTTTCTACCTCAAAGAATGTGAGAAAAACTATTGGTATTATTACTTGTATCATGCTAAATTTCACAACTTAAAGAGAGTTGGCATCATTTCGTTATTTAGCCTTCCTCTCAAGAACATTGTTCAATTCTTCCTCTGAACCCTTTAAAAGGATTTTAAAGTTTTCTTTACATAGATAATGTGTATTTCTAGTTAGGTTTATTCCTAGCTATTTTATCTCTGTAAATCAATGTTATTTTTGCCTTCGTCCCTTTGTAGGCCTGTCTGGATTTGGTCTTTTTTCTGACTTTGAATGCAACTGCAGGCATGTCTCATATCTCTGTTCCTTGCTGTCCCAAGCACATTCTTACTTCATAGGTTAATATCTATGTCCATTGTTAAATTTTTTAAAAAAGCAGTTCTCTGAGCATCAATTAATTTTTAACAGTTTTAACCATCCCACCCCCCACCTACCTTGGACATGCCTCAGTCTTAGAATGCTGAAGTGTAGGATGGGTGTGGTCTGTTTTATCCTATCACCTAGTTATCCTCTCCCCAGGAGAAGGAGCGTGTTATGTGCCTGCCTTTATAATCTGGCAATTATTTATTCTGCAGAAAGTGGAACACGTAATTGTTGTTTCTTTCTCTCCAGAGTTTTTATTTTGTCTATTGGTTTTGTTTATTTGTTTTCAGAGATTATTCTCATGCTTGTTCTCTTCTTCTCTGGCTAAGCATTTAAGATTCCCCTCCCTCAGCCAGCCCCTACTCTTCCAGCAGTTATCATCTCTTCCCACCCCACACCTCCATGCTCTCTCAATGTTTGTCTCTTCTTCTTTCCTGGCTATCTTTTTTTTTTTTGGCAGGGTCTCTATTAGAAAGTCCAGGCTGACTCTCTCCCACTGATAATGCTGATCTTTGGAGTACTACTTCCTTTCCTCACCTTTACTTAAGTGTAGTAGGAAATTCAGTTCAATCTTCCTTCTCTATAGTGCTATTAGGTGCAGCTCCAGGATGATTTTCATCTTTAGACAGTCTGTGGTGAGAGGTAAACACTATTAGAACTCTAAAGGGTGAACAGGTGTCCAGTTTTGTTGTTGTCGTTTGCTGGCTTGTTTGTTTCGAGTGGGAAAGGCCCTCCTCACTTCCCCCATGGAGAGGATGGCAAGTTAGAGTGCTTGGAAAATGCATAGCATTCCAATTTTGCTATCCAAAGGGACTCTCTCTATGAACTCTTCACACCCCACCATTTCACAGATGGGGTGAACGACCCTTAATGCTAGTAGAAGCAGGTTTTATAGCCTCACCTTGCACTACATGTGTTGTCTAGCAGCTTGCTTTAGGATGCAGGGGTTCTAAGTACCCACTCTCTCGACTTTTTGTAGTCTCAGCTGAACTAAGACAGAATGAGTTCCATTTTAACAATCAAATACATTAAACATACAGCATTGCAGACACTTGAAGATGAAAGCACATGGAGGTCACTATAATAAAGCACCTTTTGATTTAGACTGTGGTCCCCTTTTATTTTAGAATATACTGACATTTCTCAGAGCAATAAGCTATTTGTAAATCTTTATTCACTTAGGTTCACTGGAACTTGAGTGAAAAAAATAAAAATATAGGGGGCTCAAATCTAATAAGATAAATTTATATGTTCCCTCTTATGTTCATCTGCATGATACAGCTCTGCCATTTTTCTTCAGGTCATTTTTCCAGTTTCTTTCACGTTTTACCTTTGTTTTTCTCTCTTTGATTTCTAGAGAATGTCACTCTCATTTGGATAGAGCAGTCTCCAGCCTCCTAAGAACATATCAGAGTTGACATTTCTACATACTTGTTTATTCCTTTCAAGGAGTAAACATATTGTTCAGAACCAAGAAGCTGAAAATATTGTTGTAGAATTATAATGCTAACATAAAATCATTTCCCACATCATCATTTGATTAATACAAAATGGCTGTGGTTTCTCAAAGCCTCTTGCTTTTTCATGTTTTTGTTCATGCTATGATACTACCACTAAATAGACAACTTTCTTCTCACTCTCCTTTGACCATCATCTACTCACCCTTCAGGATTTAGTCAGGCATATGTTGAAAAATATGCTTAAAAACAAAGCTTACCTGAGAATGTCATTGTCAAGGATATACAAAATAGCAAATATTAAATTTGTTGACTTTCTTTGTCATAGATTAGATGTAGAATATTTTGTTCGAATGCTGTTTAATTCAGATTAATATACATGCATACATATATATGCATCTGTATATATTAATATACATATATGTGCATGTATATATATATATATATATACACACACACACACACACACACAAACACACATGTATGTACATACATATACTATACCACTATTAGTTTTTAGGATAAAAAAGTCAAAACATGAAATTTTTTTATTTTGATATTTTTTCTTTGTGTGATTGGCACATAAAAGAACTAAGGCTCCTATACTCTATGTATGTCTCAGAAAATAAGTACCATGGAGTCTCAGTGTTTGAAAAACTTTTAAAGCTTATCTAGATGAAACTTCTACTGAATCTGAGAATTTGCTCCACTACGTAACAGTACAATCCATACTATATTGAGAGATTGTCACCAGCTATTTGCTTGAATATTTAGGATGAAGAGCTGTGGACTTTCAAAGAAGAGCCCTTTGGGGTAATTTCTGTACCATAGGTGCTTTGTAACTCTAAAGGGTGGAACTAAAACCGGTTTCTGAATGTCACTGGGTAACACATTTCAGTTCATAATTCAAAAGTCATCTTTATTGACTCTTCCTCAATATAGAAAAGACTGCATCACCTAAAATAAAAGGATATCAAATAAGACTGAATATTTGTTTTGAGAGAATAAAAGGATTTTTTCATGCTGTGTGTAGTCTTCAAAAGGAGGCAGGTAGAGAAGATGAAAGGAAGATGAAATGAGACTAGATTCTAAATTAGCCATACGGTGACTATGGCAATGACAAAATCATGTCAGTCTGTAAAAATACAAAATAAACAATTACTCCCTCTCAAGAAAATACTAATTTGTACATGTGTTCGGAAAAAAAGATTAATATATGAAGAAAATACTTTATAGAGGAGGCCTTTTTTTGAAATAAAATCCATTGTAAAGGGATTTCTTCTTTAGACTACCATGGAGCAACACAGATTAAAAATACCCATCTTTATGAAATAAAACATTATACAAGATATACAAAACAATGGTTTTCAAGGTAGTGGACATCAAAATATGAATGACAGTGATACCTGCAAGGTGGGAAACAAATGAAGTGAGCCTTATGATTACCTAACTTAGCTACCTGAGAAATTCTTAGACCATGACACATGATGAGGAACCCAGCTGGAGGCCGGTGGTCTCCCTAAGAAGATGAGATGAAGCCGAGAGCCCAGGAAGGCCAAGATGAAAAGAGTAAGCAGGGCAGAGTAACAGAGAGGAGAGAGCTACACGTAGAATTCTGGAAAAATGCACAGTGAGTCTTAAGGCAAAGACTTACCAGTGCAGAAGTGAAGAAACTAACTAAGGGAGAGGAAATAACCATCTAAAAGAATTAGAAGCAAAAAATCTACTGCTGACATAAAGTTATGAATAATTCTGTTTTTATTAGCCATAATAAAATATCTCATAATTCAAGAAGCATTGGGTAAAGCAGTGATAAGGATTATGGCTTCGTATTGAGTGAAAAATTAGTTTTAGGCAACATGCTGCTCTGGTTCCACCTAACAAATTTTAGCACCAAGACAAAGAAGATCAAACTGTTACCCAGCAATTAACCATATCATAGAATGGAGCTCAAAATTATGTATAGAAATGCAAAAATGTCCAGCAGCCAATAAGATAAAGTTCAAAATGCCCGGCATCCGGTCAAAAAGTATGAGTCGAAATGAGAAAAAACCAGAATCATAAAAACAACAACAACAACAACAACAAATGACTTGGACAAGTCCAGTGTGGCGAGGATATGAGTTTCTTAAGACTTAAATATGAGGCACTCCTGGATGGCAACAGGACAGCTGTAGAGATTTGTGCTGCCTCTTATCTCTAAGCTACTTTTAAGCTGAATTTTTTGCTCTTTGCCTACTATGTTTAAACAATGAGACTGTTTTTCTCAGCAGGTTCTCAGACACTTTTTGGGATCTGAACAATTCTTGAGTTAAAATCTAAATTACCTGAAATTTTAAAAAGTACTGATTGTGATTAACAGCATATTAGATATTACAGAAGAAAAGTTTTGGGAACTTGAATACATAGCAAGAGAAAATATCCAAAATAAAACACAAAAAGGAAAAAGACTGGGAAAAATAGTAAACACAACTTCTGGAGCCAGTGAAAAACTTGTAGCTGGTAAATATGTAATTAAAGTCCAAGGAGAAAAAGGGGGCAGAATAATATTTAAAGAAATACAGTCATCCTTTCTTCAAATTTGATGAAGGCTCTAAATCTATAGATCTAAGAATGTCAATTAACCCAAAGCACATGAAATATGAAGATACTTCTCCATAGTGCATTATAATCTAGAGAAGAGACAAATATTTACAACATGCAGAAAATGCAAATTAAGGACTGAGAAGTAAAGAAGATAGTTTCTTTTTGGACACAATTCAAAAAACAGGAAGAAAACAGTACAGCAATATCTTTAAAGAATTCAAATGTCAACCTAAAATTTTTTAAAGAAAAAATATTTTTTCCAAAAATGAGGGAATAATAAAGATTCTTTGAGACCTAAAAAACTGAAAGAACTCATCAATAGTAGGCCTAAACTACAGCATTTAAAGAAGTCCATGTGGCAGCAGGAAAATTAAGTAGAACAGAAATCTGGATCAACAAAATGGAAAGCAGAGCCCTGGAAATGGTAGCTACAAAGATAAATATAAATGCATGATTTTATCATTTAACATGCTTTAAAGCAAAATGACTTTTAAAGCAAAAATAGAAAAATGTATTGTGAAATTGATGACATAGGTAGAGATTCAATTAAAAAAAGGGATCAAAGCATATGTTGCCTATAAAAAGCCCAGTTAAATATAGATAGGTGAAAAATAAAAACATGAGAAAATACATGTCATCTTAACTCTAACCAAAAGAGTAGCTATAGTAATATTAGATAAGGTAGACTTGAGATTAAAGAGGATTACCAGGGATACAGAGAATCATTTCATAATATAAAGTTAAATGTACATACTTAACAAAAGATATAACTTCTGGTAGTTACCCACAAGAAATGAAAGGACATGGTCACAATAAGATATTGGTCTGTATCTTTTCATGCAATTTTTTTTCCTGGCTTTGGTGACAGAGTACTGTTGGCTTCAGAGAATACATTAAGTATTTATTTCTCTTTAATTTTCTGGAAGAATTTGCATAGAATTGTTATCAATTCTTATTTAGGTGTTTAAAGTGATTTACCAGTCAAGCTATTTGAGCCAGGATTTGTTGATTTTTTTGTTTTTAAGAATTTTAAGTGAAAAATTCAATTTGTAAAAGAACAATGTTCAGTAGGAAAGTACAGCTATTTAAATAGACTTGGAACCTTTGAGTTTTACAAAAGTCTACTGATTCTCTTTCCAATTTTTCCTACATGTTCAAGCAGAATGTTGCTGTATTTAAAATGCTGACTTACACATTAAATGACAGTAAAATATCTGGTACTTATATTTCCATTAATCTAGTTGAGATAGGCTATTAAATTAAAATTTTTACAAAAACATAAAAAGGAACTTATAGAAAAAATAAGCTACACGTAAAAACATTTTCCTAAGTCATGTCTTAGGTTTTAATAATTATTATAGAGATGACAAAGATTAAAACTTCACACCAGACAGATATAAGATGTGAAGAATGCTCTGCTGATGATATTTAATTGTAGGAAGGCTAGGGAATCCAGAAGTTCTCAGATTCTTCCCCGCCAATGACTCATGCTCTGTAGGGGTTTTATGGAACAATATAATCAAGGAACACCAGCAGAGGGGACTCAGAATTTGTTGTCATTAATAGTTGGCCTAGTTTGCAATTTGCTATTGCCAACCTAAAAAAACATTGCCTTGGATCAATGACAGAAGAAGTGAGCCTCTTATTTCCCTTTTCTATTTAAAGATAACTGAAACCAGTTCAAATGACTATAGACATAGTGCTAACAACAGCCCTGAATCCACTTATTCATCCAATCCACATGGAACAAGGAAAGAGATAAATTACTTGGCTTATGAATGCTCCTTCTTGGCATAGAAAAATATCTACAGCTAAAGGTATTACTGGGGTATTGATTGTTCAAATTGTTCACCTTTTACTAGATTGTGCTATAGTAACAAAAAGCCTCAAAAATCTCAATGATTTACCACAATAGAGATGTATTTCTCATTCATGATATGTGTTAATTGCTGATCATCTATGGCTCTATTACAGGCTGAAGTAGCATCTACCAATCTTAAATTTGAAACTGAGGGCAATGATCCAAAATCCAGGGCAAATTAAAGAGACTGGGTTTGGAATCTCAATGGTTTAGAAGAGGTGCTCAGAGAACAAAGCAAGATAAGGAGAGCATAAAAATATGTTATAATAGTTAAAAAGATAGGATTGGCACTCAGAATTTACAGGGATCCAGCAGATAGCAGAAATGTGACCACATCCATACCTTAATATCAAAAGAAATAGAAATATTCATGTGAGGAATTAGGGGAAAAAAAGCCTGATTAAAATGAAAATGGACCCAGGAGAGCATCTCAGAAACTTGCATATGAATGTAATTCTAATTCTAACATTTTTGTACATTTAGGGTTGTATTGCTCTCAAGAAACTGTGCCTTTATTACAAGAAGGTTCATGGTATAGTCTAATAAGAACTAGACAGGGAAGAAGGGCTGCTCCCAGAAACAAGATAGGATTCTCTGAATGTAGAAAATTATGATATCATATGAAACTCAAAAATAGAAAATGTTTACATTCCCTCTGAAGAACTGCCAACACAATAGTCTTTTACTTCAACTGAAAGAGGATATAGTGTTATAATAATAAAGATATTTTTATAGAATTCTATATTATATACATAGACAACTAAAGCTCTCATCAACCATTCTGGAGAGCAAATTAAAATGTGCCCATCAACTTCAGCATGTTAGCAAAAAGCAACTAATATATCATAGCCATGGGCCTTTGCCAAAATTAAATTTGTATGTGTTTAGAATTTTATCATCCTGACAGTTTAATAGCACAAACAAGACGGGTAAAATATGGACTTTGTCCACGAACAATGTTACACATTTTGTTTACATTAAAATATGTGACTTTTTTTCAGCTTAGTGGCAAAATAAGCAGAGAATGTCTTACCCATTTCTTGAATTTGCCCTTTTTTAAACTACTGAAACTAATTTTTAAAGTCACTTCTTTATTGTCTCTGATTCAAAATAGATTAGGTTCCAATGCAACAGGATTTATATTAGAAAAAAATCTAACACAAAGAAAGTCAGGCTGTATGTAACCCCACCTAAAAGGTTTTAGTTACTAATGAATCAAAGAATCTCATTGTAAGGTAACGTTTCACATATGGTCCCCCAGAATATCCTGCATGTTAATTGCTTCTGCTTTTTTTATGCCACTACTTTTCCTTGAACTGCGTCTCACAACACCTATCATGATGAAAATTAATTTACCTCTCCTTATCTCTATTAACCTGGAGAGTCTTTCCGTCCATGACTGATATGTTGTTTATTCTTGTATCCCCTGTATGTTGCACATTGCTGGGCACCTCTTAATCATCCGGTTTCATTTTCTGAAACTGAATTGATGGAATAAGAGTGATATCCAAGAACAAACCATTTAAGTGACCTCTATCTAGGTAGAAATGACTGCCCATTGACCCTTTGACTGATTGGGCCTTTTGCATCCATTTCACATTTGAAAGGGTAATGGCAAATCTATAATTACTCTGATCAATATCACACAGTTCCTGAAACCCTGAGAAGTAGCAAGAGATATCCTTATTGACGTACTGTTTCTGTGAGCAATTATGCTTCCTTTTCAGTTTTTACTGGCTGCAGTGAGAAGACAGTGAGTAAAAATCACATGGTGCTAGAAAGAGGGTTTGGATACCTGCTTGTCTTGTTAATAAATAGGCTGTCTCCTGTAGAATCGTAACATTTTGTTGGCTATTTTATTGTTCATTTAAAGTGAATACATGGGTTACAGGAGAATAATGCTGAAATAGTGAATTGAAATGGAGAAATGTTAGCCTACTTTGTGGATGGGACACCTCAGGTTTGGAAGTTAGAAAATATTGCAAATAATTGAATTTTGGAAGTCACTTAGTAATTTCTTGATAATTTCTCCCCTTCTCTAACTAAAAGAAAAAGCTATTAGATAGCTTATCTCTACACTTATTTTGATATGTTTTTCACTTTATTCAACTACAAATGGTCTTCATTTAAAGAAATAGTATATTGATTATGTAAATAGATACTGTTTATGCTACATAATAGACATTTCCATGAACACTATATGTAATATTAATAACAAATCTGAAAATTAATGTCTCTATTTAGATGTACAAGTGGAGGTACAAATATTCTAAATAAATAACTCAGAATTACATAATTACAAGTCTAAGATACAAAACGAGTTCAGTTGACTTACTTTCCTTTTTCCTCTATACTATATTATCTCTTTGAGAAGGGACTATTAGGGAGATCAGGCAAATATCATATATAAATGTGATTATTTAATTGATAAAGCAATTCATTACCAGCTTAGAACAGGTCCCTCTTTCTTCACACTCAGAAAAAGGGACTGTTACTTATGCTTGTCAGAATTTAATAAGCAAAGACCATACTAAAATCATTTTCTCCAAGAAAATACACTACAGGCCTTGGCAAATCTATAATAGGGTAGATTTATATACGTGTTTTATCTTGTTTTCTAAAATAAGCACAATAAATGGGCCAGATGCACATAGCTGTGTTTCTATCTGAATAAAAGTGTGTGGAAAATGGGATAAAAGAGAGTTCCAGGCATTCCTTTAATTATAAATTGAATCAGAAATTATTCAATTTGCCAGACATTGTCAAAAGTCTACATTGAATATGCCACTGAGAAAAAATGATTTTTCCATTTCCCTTTCAACCCAAAATTTGGACATTGTCCTTTGGGGTGGCGTGATAAAACAAAAATAGTCTGTGTAGGGTCATTTTTAAAATTCTCTATTTTTCACTGAGGATTCTGATTGCCAGTTGCATTGAAAAGTATTGGGCTTCTTTTTCTACCAAAAAAGGAAACAACATGTGTGTGTGTATATATATATATGTGTGTGTGTGTGTATGTGTGTGTGTGTGTGTAAATGAGCTTACACATTACACATAAAATCATGCAGCATATTATATATAATCTGTTTCTGAATGAGCTAAACAAAACCTCAAATAGTTAGATTATAAACATTTGCTGACTATCCCTTTATCTTCATCTTTTAAAAAGGAAGAATTTTTTGATCATTGAGCAAACTCTCCAGCTTTGTTTGTGACGCAAGGAAGGAAGAAAAGCAGAGGATGAAAGTTAGCTGAGTTGTTCCTTGTGAGAATATATATTAGGGGAATAGATGTTGGCTGCTTATGAGTGATTTTGGTAAATAACAGAAGAGTGGAGAAGAAGAGAATTTGGGGAACAAGAGAGGGAAGATTATATTAGCCATTATATGAAGATGGAAACTTTTAGGAGAAACATTTATATGAAAAATTTTAAGAAAGCATTCAGTATATTTTGTTAATAACTTTTTCATTTATACTTCTAATGACTTTGAATAGTTTATATATCTTTTCAAATTTAATTTCTGAGTCTGTGGTTTTCTTTGTTGTTGTTATTACTAAGCTGGTCAGTAACCTAAAAATCACCCACTTATGTTTCCTTTAACTTTGGAGGTCCGACAAATAGGATATTGGATTTGATGTGCATTACCTAGCTGTATGGCACCAAAAATACCTTTTCAACATAACCATGAGATTATTGTGTTTAAGGTGCAAGGGAATTGACATCAACTAAAGGTAACCCATAACATTTCTTTTATTCTACCTCAACATGAGTAGAAATGGCACAAACCACTCTAACAATTAAAATTTAGAATGATATAAACAAGCATAAGTAGTTGTATGTGTAGAATGTTGTACTAGATGTACACAGCATTGTGTTAGGCTTTCTGGGTAAAAAATTCTAACATATTTCTTGGCATTTCAGCATTAGTTCCAGGTTCCATGAAGATATTATTTATTAAGACATTAAAATCATTCCACGAGGTGAAGAAGGGAAAACTGTGGTAGACCTGGTTGGATTCAGACCAGATTGAGTTCAGGGCCATTATAGGGCTTCATCAGATGTAAGCGGCTTTATTGAATATTAACGTCATCAGATGTAAGCGGCTTTGTTGAATATTAAGCTTCTGTGATAGGTAAATGATCCAGCCAGCTCTGCAGCCATAGGTAAAGCCCACCCAAATGTGGAGAAAATAATCCCAGATTTGGAGAAAATCACAAGGTTCTTCCCTCAGTCAGACAAGAAATAAAGGAAGCCTAGTGTAAACCAACTTATGGGAAAACAGAAGAGAAAATGAGACAGAATCTACAGGGGTAGAATGTGAAAAACAGGATAGAGGGAGTGGGCAACATTTACTGTCCATTTTTTGACTTGAGAGGCAAGGTGGATTTTGGCACATATACCAAGATAGAAAATACAAGGATTAAAACCAGTTTAAGGTAGTGCTACTAGAACTAGGATAAAGGTAACGATAGTGGACTCTGCTTTGTGCATTTAGTATTTGATACGTCTATAAGCTTTTTACAGGGGTTTTCTACTAGGCAGAGTATATTATGTGAATCTGAAATCTTGCAGCTGATGGCATGATTTATAAAGGATAAGGGTAGAAACAATCCACTAAGAAAGATGCAGTGCAGTAACAAATTGAAGGAGCTAAATGGATTTAAAGAATCTTTTCAGTTTTATATGGAAAAAGACCTTTTTAGCTGAGAAATACCTGAGATACTATCATGAAGTAGAAGGTCTTTAATGTACATCTAAATGTCAGATTCCTAACATTTTAGGAGTCTCAGTATAGAGTATAAGTCTCTCATAGTTACTCATACCTTTTGCTAGGTTCAAATCCTGGGTCAGCAAAGCATCGTGTGACCTTGTATTAGAAACTTAACCTCTGAACTACAATTTCTTCACTGATAAAGGAGGATATAAATATGTGACCTTTAAAATTACAGTATTATGATGATTCTATTATAAAGTGTGTAAAACAACTACAACAGTGCCTGGAACCAATAATGAGTTGCTGTTTCTACTTCTTCAACTTCCCCTCCTCATTATTTTTATGATTGTTTATTTGGTTGCTTTGGACATTACCTCTACATGTATAGTTAAATGTTATCTACCTACTGATTCTATAAAATTTACTGTACTTCGGTGGAGCCCACTGCAGCTCCCGCTCAATCTAGATGCGGAATCGGGCAGCAGCAGGAGGCAGCCTGGAGAGCTGAGCTTTGAAGAGAGCAGTGACTCTCCCAGCACAGAGTTTGAGATCTGAGAACGGACAGACTGCCTCCTCAAGTGGGTCCCTGACTCCCAAGTAGCCTAACTGGGAGACACCTCCCAGTAGGGGCCGACTGACACCTCATACAGGTGGGTGCCCCTCTGAGACGAAGCTTTCAGAGGAAGGATCAGGCAGCAATATTTGCTGTTCTGCAATATTTGCTGTTCTGCAGCCTCTGCTGGTAATACCCAGACAAACAGGATATGGAGTGGACCTCCAGCAAACTCCAACAGACTTGAAACTCAGGGTCCTGACTGTTAGAAGGAAAACTAATAAACAGAAAGGAATAGCATCAACATCAACAGAGAGGACATCCACATCAAAACCCCATCTGTAGGTCACCATCATCAAAGACCAAAGGTAGATAAAACCACAAAGATGGGGAGAAACCAGAGCAGAAAAGCTGAAAATTCTAAAAACCAGAGTGCCTCTTTTCCTCCAAAGGAATGCAGCTCCTCGCCAGCAATGGAGCAAAGCTGGACAGGGAATGACTTTGACAAGTTGACAGAAGTAGGCTTCAGAAGATCAGTAATAACAGACTTCTCCGAGCTAAAGGAGGATGTGCGAACCCATTGCAAGGAAGCTTTAAAACTTTGAAAAAAGATTAGATGAATGGCTAACTAGAGTAAACAGCATAGAGAAGACCTTAAAGGACCTGATGGAGCTGAAAACCATGGCACGAGAACTATGCGACAGATGCACCAGCTTCAGTAGCCCATTCGATCAACTGGAAGAAAGGGTATCAGTGATTGAAGATCAAATTAATGAAATGAAATGAGAATAAAAGTTTAGAGAAAAAAAGAGTAAAAAGAAACAAACAAAGCCTCCAAGAAATATGGGACTTAGTGAAAAGAACAAATCTACGTCTGATTGGTGTTCCTGAGAGTGACAGAGAGAATGGAACCAAGTTGGAAAACACTCTGCAGGATATTATCCAGGAGAACTTCCCCAACCTAGCAAAGTAGGCCAACATTAAAGTTCCGGAAATACAGAGAACACCACAAAGATACTCACTGAGAAGAGCAACCCCAAAACACGTAACTGTCAGATTCACCAAGGTTGAAATGAAGGAAACAACGTTAAGGGCAGCCAGAGAGAAAGGTCGGGTTACCTACAAAGGGGAAGCCCATCACACTAACAGCAGATCTCTCAGCAGAAACTCTACAAGCCAGAAGAGAGTGGGGGCCAATATTCAACATTCTTAAAGAAAAGAATTTTCAACCCAGAACTTCATATCCAGCCAAACTAAGCTTCATAAGTGTAGGAGAAATAACATCCTTTACAGAAAAACAAATGCTGAGAGATTTTGTCACCACCAGGCCTGCCTTACAAGAGCTCCTGAAGGAAGCACTAAACATGGAAAGGGACAACTGGCACCAGCCACTGCAAAAACATGTCAAATTGTAAAGACCATCGATGCTAGGAAGAAACTGCATCAACTAACAAGCAAAATAACCAGCTAACATCATAATGACAGGATCAAATTCACATACAACAATATTAACCTTAAATGTAAATAGGCTAAATGCTCCAATTAAAAGACATAGACTGGCAAACTGGATAAAGAGTCAAGACCCATCAGAGTGCTGTATTCAAGAGACCCATCTCATGTGCACAGACACACATAGGCTCAAAAGAAAGGGATGGAGGAAGATCTGCCAAGCAAACGGAAAACCAAAAAAAAGCAGGGGTTGCAATCCTAGTCTCTGATGAAACAGGCTTTAAACCAATAAAGATCAAAAGAGACAAAGAAGGCCAATACATAATAGTAAAGGGATCAATTCAACAAGAAGAGTTAACTATCCTAAATATATATGAACCCAATACAGGAGCACCCAGATTGATAAAGCAAGTCCTTAGATACCTAGAAAGAGACTTAGACTCCCACACAATAATAACAGGAGACTTTAACACCCCACTGTCAACATTAGACAGATCAACGACACAGAAAGTTAACAAGGATTCCAGGACTTGAACTTAACTCTGCACCAAGCAGACCTAATAGACATCTACAGAACTCTCTACCCCAGATCAACAGAATATACATTCTTCTCAGCACCACATCGCACTTATTCCAAAGTCGACCACATAGTTGGAAGTAAAGCACTCCGCAGCAAATGTACAAAAAAAACAAAACAAAACAAAAAAAAAACCACACAGAAATCTTAACAAACTGTCTCTCAGACCACAGTGCAATCAAACTAGAACTCAGGATTAAGAAACTCACTCAAAACCGCACAACTACATGGAAACTGAACAACCTGCTCCTGAATGACTACTGGGTAAACAACAAAATGAAGGAAGAAATAAAGATGTTCTTTGAAACCAATGAGAATAAAGACACAACATACCAGAATCTCTGTGACACGTTTAAAGCAGTGTGTAGAGGGAAATTTATAGCACTAAATATCCACAAGAGAAAGCAGGAAAGATCTAAAATCGACACCCTAGCATCACAATTAAAGGAACTAGAGAAGCAAGAGCAAACATATTCAAAAGCTAGCCGAAGGCAAGAAATAACTAAGATCAGAGCAGAATTGAAGGAGATAGAGACACAAAAAACCCTTCAAAAAATCAATGAATCCAGGAGCTGATATTTGAAAAGAGGAACAAAATAGACCACCAGCAAGACTACTAAAGAGGAAAGGAGAGAAGAATCAAATAGACACAATAAAAAATGATAAAGGGGATATCAACACTGATCCCACAAAAATACAAATTACCTGCAGAGAATACTATAAACACCTCTATGCAAATACTAGAAAATCTAGGAGAAATTAAACTCCTGGACACATACACCCTCCCAAGACTAAACCAGGAAGAAGTTGAATCTCTGAATAGATCAATAACAGGCTCTGAAATTGAGGCAGTAATTAATAGCTTACCAACCAAAAAAAGTCCAGGACCCAGATGGATTCACCGCCGAATTCTACCAGAGGTACAAAGAGGAGCTGATACCATTCCTTCTGAAATTATTTCAATCAATAGAAAAAGAGGGAATCCTCCCTAACTCATTTTATGAGGCCAGCATCATCCTGATGCCAAAGCATGGCAGAGACACAACAAAAAAAGAGAATTTAGGCCAATATCCCTGATGAACATGGATGCAAAAATCCTCAGTAAAATACTGGCAAACCGAATCCAGCAGCACAACAAAAAGCTTATCCACCACGACCAAGTTGGCTTCATCCCTGTGATGCAAGTCTGGTTCAACATATGCAAATCAATAAAAGTAATCCAGCTTATAAACAGAACCAAAGACAAAAACCACATAATTATCTCAATAGATGCAGAAAAGGCCTTTGACAAAATTCAGCAGCCTTCATGCTAAAAACTCTTAGTAAGCTAGGTATTGATAGGCCATATCTCAAAACAATAAGAGCTATTTATGACAAACCCACAGCCAATATCATACTGAATGAGCAAAAACTGGAAGCATTCCCTTTGAAAACTGGCACAAGACAGGGATGCCCTCTCTCACCACTCCTATTCAACACAGTGTTGGAAGCTCTGGCCAGGGCAATCAGGCAGGAGAAAGAAGGAAAGGGTATTCAATTAGGACAAGAGGAAGTCAAATTGTCTCTGTTTGCAGATGACATGATTGTATATCTAGAAAACCCCATCGTCTCCACCCAAAATCTCCTTGTCTCCACCTAAAATCTCCAAAAACTTCAGCAAAGTCTCAGGATACAAAATCAATGTGCAAAAATCACAAGCATTCCTATGCACCAATAACAGACAAACGGAGAGCCAAATCATGAGTGAACTCCCATTCACAATTGCTTCAAAGAGAATAAAATACCTAGGAATCCAACTTACAAGGGATGTGAAGGACCTCTTCAAGGAGAACTACAAACCACTGCTCTACAAAATAAGAAGACACAAACAAATGGAAGAACATTCCATGCTCATGGATAGGAAGAATCAATATCGTGAAAAATAGCCATACTGCCCAAGGTAATTTATAGATTCAATGCCATCCCCATCAAGCTACCAATGACTTTCTTCACAGTATTGGAAAAAACTAAAGTTCATATTGAACCAAAAAAGAGCCTGCATTGCCAAGAAAATCCTAAGCAAAAAGAACAAAGCTGGAGACATCATGCTACCTGACTTCAAACTATACTACAAGGCTACAGTAACCAAAACAGCATGGTACTCATGGCAAAACAGAGACATAGACCAATGGAACAGAACAGAGGCCTCAGAAAAAATACCAGACATCTACAACCATCTGATCTTTGACAAACCTGACCAAGAAATGGGGAAAGGATACCCTGTTTAATAAATGTTGCTGGGGAAACTGGCTAGCCATATGCAGAAAGCTGAAACTGGATCCCTTCCTTACACCTTGTACAAAAATTAATTCAAGATAGATTAAAGACTTAAATGTTAGACCTAAAACCATAAAACCCTAGAAGAAAACCTAGGCAATACCATTCAGGCCATAGGCATGGGCAAGGACTTCATGACTAAAACACCAAAAGCAATGGCAAAAAAAGCCAAATGAGATCTAATTAAAGAGCTTCTGCACAGCAAAAGAAACTACCATCAGAGTGAACAGGCAACCTACATAATGGGAGAGAATCTTTGCAATCTACCCATCTGACAAAGGGCTAGTATCCAGAATCTACAAAGCACTCAAACAAATTTACAAGAAAAAATCAAACAACCCCATCAAAAAGTGGGCAAAGGATATGAACAGACACTTCTCAAAAGAAGACATTTATGCAGCCAACAGACACATTAAAAAATGCTTATCATCAGTAGCCATCAGAGAAATGTAAATCAAAATCACAATGAGATACCATCTCACAACAGTTAGAATGGCGATCATTGAAAAGTCAGGAAACAGCAGGTGCTGGAGAGGATGTGGAGAAATAGGAACACTTTTACACTGTTGGTGGGAGTGTAAACTAGTTCAACCATTGTTGAAGACAGTGTGGCGATTCCTCAGGGATATAGAACTAGAAATAGCATTTGACCTAGCCATCCCATTAATGGGTATATAGCCAAAGGATTATAATTCATGCTACTATAAAGACACATACACACGTATGTTTGTTGCAGCACTATTCACAATAGCAAAGACTTGGAACCAACCCAAATGTCCATCAATGATAGACTGGATTAAGAAAATGTGGCACATAGACACCATGGAATGCTATGCAGCCATAGGAAGGGATGAGTTCATGTCCTTTGTAGGGATGGGGTGAAGCTGGAAACCATCATTCTGAGCAAACTATCGCAGGGACAGTGGGCCAAGCACCACATGTCCTCACTCATGGGTGGGAGTAGAACAGGGGGAACACTTGGACACAGGGCAGGGAGCATCACACACTGGGGCCTGTCGTGGGGTCGGGGGAGTGGGGAGGGATAGCATTCAGAGAAATGCCTGGTGTAGGTGACGAGTTGGTAGGTGCAGGACACCAACATGGCACATGTATACATATGTAACAAGCCTGTACATTGTGCACATGTACCCTAGAACTTAAAGTATGATAAAAAATAAATAAAATTTACTATACTTTATCTCCAGTAAATTAAAGTCACCAGTGTGGTTCAGACTAACCTAGGTATGAGTTCTATTTTGGAGCAGCAGCTGTCCCATCTTCAGTAAGTAATTTAATATTTATTAGCTTCAATTTCTGTAACTCAGCCTAGTATTTACTTCAGTGAAACACAGCCGCTAAGATGGAATCATGACTCATGGATTAGTAGGCACTCCCCTTCCTGTAGTTAGGGTTACCTTGGTTTATTTGTAATAACTTTATTTGTGTCAGAAAACACTTGCATATCTGCACCGACCAATGCGTAGTGATATATGACATTGGCTCCACACAACATACTCCATCAGAGCATAGCAAACCCAAACAATCCCTTTAATTAATTTTTTTCTTAATCATATATCAACCAACTTCAGTCAACAGATTAATTTTAATGGGATGTTTGGAGAACAGACTCCAATATTGACATATAGAAAATATTTTTCAATGGTTTGCTAGTTTTTTTATTGTTGTTGTGGCCATTGATGTTTATTACTCTAAAAGAAGAAACAATATACTACTTGGGTCACATGTTTTAATGGTTTGGAAATAAATAATAAGTTTAGTTATATAAATATAAAGAGATTATCTCTAGGAATTGATAAATTATAAAAAAATTACTAAACATTTGTAATGTTGTGCAACTTTCAGTTTATGGAGAGAGGAGTTATATTCTTGGAAATCATGTTATTGAGAAGTTTATTTGACTGAGACAATGAGGAAATAGTATTTTTTATACCCTAATCTCAAAGAAGCAAGTGTGTACTCTGGATGGGAAGAGCACGATTAGGTTATTTCTAATGTATAAGCCTAGGGTGGGTTCTGGAGAACAGAAAATTATTATGGCATCAGTAGAGACAAAACAGTTGGCCATAGACTGGTAGAGCCTATAGGCATTGGAATAATAGTATCAGTTATTGAAAACACTGATTTTAACATGGCAAGAATGGAAAGCGAAATGCTAGCCCAGAGCGACAGAGCAAAAAATACAATTCCCTAAGTGATTTCTACAGACATAATGATGTCAGTTCTCTATCCCTCCTCAACTTCCAGTTCCAGCAAGGATAATTCATTGCAACCACCTCCCTCTAACACTGTCTTTTGACGTGCAAAGCCCACCCTGCATCTTCTGTGAATTAAGGACAGTCAAGAATTCACCAGAAGCTCTATGTCAATAAGAATATCTTTTTATAGTTTTTCAGGGATTTTGGAGCAATGTGTTCAACAGTCAGTATAGATTTTTTTTTCTTCTCAATATGAGATAGATTAATGAAAAAGGAGTATACACATTATGCAGTCAAAAATGTTTAATTTTCTATGGATTAGCTGAAGAATTTCTGCGCTGCCTGTGTGTGCAAGTACACACACACACATTTCAGTCATCTTCTGAGATAGTAAATTAGCCAGATAAGTAACTTCAGGATACAACAGTTGTTACAGAGTTTAATTTTTTGGAGGTTGGAAACCATTTTGTCTAGAGAACATAAAACAGTAGGACTAGTGTTCGTACTGCAGGTTATAAGAAAGACGAACAGGGAAATAGAATTTCCAGGATTCTAATTTGTCAGTATGACCATTCTAGAATCTATAAGGGATGTTTTTGCCCTTGACCAAGTCATTATGCAGTCACACAGTGCTGGAATCCATGGGCTTAAGACCTTGAAAAGATACTTGCTAAGCTAATAACCAAAATTCATGATAAAGTGACCATGGGCATGATAATATTAATAGGGCTCCTCTTCTAAAACAGCATATTCTATTTTTAATAAAGGCCTTCCTAGGGTACCACGCCTAACAAATCCAAGTGTCTTAATTTCAGGTCCGAACCAAGAAAATAATTCTTGATAGGCAATCTCTTTTTCTGCCTGAGTTTGGTAATGGCAGAAGCCATACGAAATCATAAAGTTTCCAAAAGTACCCCGGCATGGAATCAAAGGGCAGGGAGGGAGAAACGGGACTGAAACAAACAGCAAGTGAAAGAAACGATTTCCAAAGGTCTGTGCTATATACTTCCAAATGAATATTCTGACTTCATGTGGCTTCATGCCACATCATCCTGCAAATATTCAGAGATTGAAATGTTTTAATTATGTAGTTCCATACCAAAAGCAGTATAAACAAAGTGTTTTAATATGTTGGGATGTTAATGTTATCTTTCTATTGCAGGAGAAAAAAGTCTACATGAATAGATATTGATTTTCTGACTGCGTGTTACTTAGCATTTTACCTGGTGTTAGTAACTGATAAGCCTTTCAAGGGATTTCATTATGGAGATTCCGTTTCTCCCAAGCCTTGTGCAGACTCTGATGCCGGGTCTTTTTATTGATGCATGTAATCTGATGGACTTCAAATTAAAAGCCATGAAAATCACATTAGTCTGTCTACTAGATGAGATGTTATTAAGAGTAATGGGGCAATGCTATCAGAGCTTCATGTCTTAATGTTTGGTTCTTAAAACCCAAAATTTCAGACAAATAAAGCCTGTCATGAGTTATTACTCACTGTCCTACACAAATACTGATATATTTATCACTGTTGGCTAAAGGAGTGGCATCTTTAAGATAATTATTTTCTAGGAGAGTGGTTGTAGAGAAGAAGAAAGATAATAAATAAAATTGGGAGGCCCACACAAAGGGAGCGTGGATGTGAGTACACTGAAGAAAAGTGTAGTGCCTCAAAGGATGACGATAATGTCATATTAACAATGTGTCTATATAAATATGTTTTATATTTGCCAAAATATAGTTGTAATTTATTACACCACTACGTATCCTGTGATAAAACTATAAAACACCGTAAAATTAGATATTATAGGTAAGAGTATAAAATTGGAACCATATATTCAAGAGTAGCCTTATATAGAAAGTATTACAAAAAATAAATATGTGTATATAAATAAAGTATTACAATAGAAAATGTAATATGTGAAATTATTATTCCATACTCACATATTAGCAAACCTTGGAGAAGACTTGGGTCTCCTGATTTCTAAGTGAGTTTTCTTTCTACCGCAAGATACTGGCTTCTCATGCAATTTCTCCCTGAGAACTCTGAAGTGTCTTTTTATTCATTTAAGTGTACATAGTGTCATTATATCATTTGATTACTTACCTTGTACCTTGTACTTACCTCTGACTGCATATGAATAATTTGCAGCAAGAAGACTGATAAATTCATCTCCATTTACAAATGTCTATCAGTTTCATGTTTATGATCCTAAACTTATTAAGCCATTAGCACAAAAGAAAGTGATGTAAGGGAATATTCCAAACTACCAGAGTCAGATTAAACGTGGATACCTAGCTCAGAATTATTCTGACCATGGATATATAGTCACAATTTTTCTTTCTCTCTTAAAAACCATAATACTTGTCCAGTGTGTTTTGTGAAAGGAGGCACTGTGGGCCATTTGTACATTAATAGGTCTAATTGCCTAAGATTTCTTTGCAGACTAATGAATTGTATTTTGTGGGGGGCATGGCAATAAGAGGACTGAGAGCACAGCAGCATTGTTTAACTTTATTTTAAACTGTGAGGACCGTGTAAAATCATATACTTTTTATGTTGACTTATCTTTTCCAGTGTCTCTTCATTTTCAGAAAGGACAAAACAGAAAAATATTGGGAAAATTTACACAGGGTTCTCCATGAAAGAAATAGCACATTCCCAAATTTGGTTACCTTCTTTCCTCTTCATTGAAAATGAGCATCACCAAAATCATTTGCAGCTCTCTGTACTCACCATAGGAAGGGATCTTGTAATGTTGTATTTTGCGCACACTTACTAACATTACCCTTTACAAGGACCTGTGTGCATTTCCCCCTTCTTTATCATTTCTATGAGTTAAAAATAGATAAAATAACTTGCTGAAGCAGCTAACATTGAAGAAGTATATGCAACCTATATAAAAAGTTGAGAAGAATAATCAAATGAGATTTATGAGAGACACATGATTCAAGGCAGGGCATGAATATAGGAAAGTCAGAATAAAAAAGCAAAAGAGTATGATAGTCCTAGCTAAGAAGTCAGTATACACAAGCAGTTCTCAGACTGATGGGTGTGACTCATTAGGTCTAAAATTCGGGGTGAGAATTTCATTCCTGACAAATTCCCAGGCAATGCAGATGCTATCGGTCCATGGACCATACCTTGAACAGCAGAGGTATATACGCATTGACCCTGTTAGCCCTGAAGACTGGTATGAAGGTACAAGATGAAATTAACATTGCTAAATGAAAAACTGCAGGGAGGGACAAATAATGGCTGTAAAGTAATGAAACTGTGCAGCTGTAAGAGCAAAAATGTGACTTCCAAGAACCCTGAACCCGATCATCATTCAAAATTTTTGTGCCATTAGGCAACATTGGCATGAATATGCATCTATAACTAGATATCCTTATTTATCATTTTAGCACAGCACATTTATTCCATGCCTGGGATTGTGCTGTATGGAAATACAGAAGCAAAAGTTCGTGTTCCCTTGTTTTGTGCCTCCCAGAGTTTCAGGTTTATAGATAGAAAAGATATAGATGCATAAATACAAACATAAATGATTATATGTAATTAATATGTTCTATTCCTTTACCATGTGGTTTCAAATCTCACGTTCCATTTCAATCCTGTTGGAAAAATTTTATTTTTTTTATTCTAACTCCCTATATTAAAGGGCCCTAAAGTTTTACTGAATCCAAGATTGTTCAGCAAGAAATGGGATATTTGAATCCGTCCAGCAGAGAGCCCCTTCACGGTGGCACTGGTGTGGGAAAGCCACCACCTTGGGCACATTATGCCACTGCTGACCTAGCAGCTGTTTCTAGAAGTTGAAGGGTAGAGGAGGAGCATCTTTCACGTGTTACTGCTTCGCCATGTAGCTGTGCGCTTTAAATGTCATAATACTTTAAATACTTCAGAGACACAGCTCTTTGGTTTAAATACTTTTGAGGCACAGCTCAAAGTTTTCTCAAGGATTCACAAATATGGCAAGTCTGGTGGGTGTAGCCCCATAATACCTGACTTGTATAGTTTGAAATCATCTGTGGTATTTTTTTTGTATTCTCTCCACAATGTTAACTTTCAAATGAAGCGCTAAACAATTCCGCTCCCACTCTCGAGTCTCATCCCCATCTGCTCTGCTCTTCAGCTTCCTGCACATGGCTTTTGCTGTCTCCCCAAAATAGCACACCTCTGCTTTGCACTTTCTGTTTTCTTCCTGCAGTGTTGTTCGCCCAGATAACCAGCTGCAGGGCCCACACTCTCATGTTACTCAGGCCTTCATTTAAAACTCACTTTCTCTGTGAATATTACCTCATTACCTTATTTAAAGTGAAAACAACTTTTCCAACTCTCTCTGAACTCTGAGTTTTATTTTTCTTCATAGACTTTACTGTCAACTAATTATCTATCAGGTCTCATTTTTTCTACTGGGATGTAATTCTTAGACAACATGAATTATTTAATCTGCTTTGTTAAGTATCTCTAATACCTAGAACTTTGCTTCAGTGATGCAGTAAGTGAATGAATAAAAAAATGAAGCATATCTACAAATTTCCAAATAAAATATTTTACCCCATTATCCACTGTGAAAACAATTATTTAAAAACTGTAAATTATACACAAATTTTGTAAGAAAACTGCAAAATATGAATGGCAATACTGTGAAAAGCAGCTAGAGATTAGTGTCTCATCAGTTATAAGTCCATATGAGAGAACATGAACAAATATGAAGCAAATAATCTTTATCAATTATTACATTCAAATAAGAAATGAGGTAATAGTATGTTTTGCTATACAGATGGGAGAATGTTTGATGTCAATTACTTTCCAAAAAAAAAAAACCACACACAGAAATAAACCTACTAAGATAGGATTTAGTAATTCATCCCCTTCCCACACACCCAAACACGTACATTTCTCCAATTCAAATTTCTATCCTTGATGAAATAGATGCTTTAATAATTACCCCTACTGCTATCTTTTGAATAAATTACCGTATTGTTTGTTTTCCCCCAGGTTTTTTTCCCTGTAAAATTATATTTGGGTATACGAAAGATTCTAGTCCCTGTGTTAAAGGGAACCCATTAAAGTCATTTGCCGAGGATATCAAGTGATACAAACTTGACTTACATTTCAGAATAATGACAGGATAACAAACCACTTGAGTTTTAATTTCCTGTTAATAGTGTAGGGTTATGACTATTAAGACAATTTATCAGGCACTTAATAGAAACAGTAAATGTTACTGTTGGAAGAAAACATAATGTTAATTTAAATGCTGCATAATTGAAAGGGTAAAGCATGGGGAATGAAGAGATTTAAATGAAGCTCTGGTTTCAGCCCCATTTTAATTGGGTGTCTGTGGAGAAGCCATTTAATGATGGTTAAATCGTTAGCAGAAAGGTATAATAATTTCAGGTCTACCTAACTCCCAGAGGTGTTTATAGGATCAAATCAATTGCTCTGAGTAAACAAGTTTAGGGAAAACACTGAAGAGATAAGGAAACTCCATCTTACATAGATTGAGAGCAAATATATAATTAGTGGCATGTCTGTTGATTCCCAATCTAGAGTGCTTGAGTTGCTTGAGTATGAAAAGTACTGTCATGGTGAAGAGAATCAAGAACATGTCACCAATTATGCATTTATCCTTTCATGATACAAGTATACAAAATAGAAATGTTGGCTTAGTCAGATTACCTAAGAGTGACACCAAGTGTGAGCCCCGGACCAGCAACATCAGCGTACTCTAGGATCTTGTTAGAAATGCAAATTATTGGGCCCCAACCCAAACCTACTGAATCAAAAACTCTGCATATATGGACCAGAAATTTGTGTTTCTAAATTTGTACTTTAATTCCTGCAGATGGTTCTGATGCAACTTAAGGGTTGAGAACTACAGCCACTTTTGATAATGGTTTAACGTCTCTACTGTGGAAAGAGATGGCACAGAGTTTGCTTGGGTAACTTTGCCCATAACAAAAGTTACATAGCCCTGAAGGGTTTGGTCACTTCTTAATTCTCAGCCTCATCTCACCCAGAGCCTCCTTGCTTTCAGAAACTCTCTCACACTCTTTCCTTCAGTTCCTTGCATGTCATATAGCCTCAAGGCCCTTCTGGGAATATTTTTCTCCTTGCTCTTAAGCTTTCTTCTTTTTTTCCTAAATATCCTTCAACTCTTTAATTCAAGCATTGTTTCATCATGAAAATATTTTCTAATCCCCACATTTGGCTATATCTCATTATAACTCTTATGACACTCTATTTTTCCTTTATAGTATGTATCACAGTTTATAAAGATATATTTTTGTTATTATCTGATTAATGTGTTTCTCACCTATAAGAATGCATGCTGCATGTGATCAGAGCCTGTATTAGTCCATTCTCACACTGCTATAAAGAACCACCCAAGATTGGGTAATTTATAAAGGAAAGAGGTTTAATTGATTCACAGTTCCATGTAGCTCAGGAGGCCTCAGGAAGCTGACATATCCTTCTTCACAAGGCAGCGGGAGAGAGAAGTGCCAAGTGAAGGGGAAAGAGCCCCTTATAAAACCATCAGATCTGGTAAGAACTCACTATTATGAGAACAGCATGGGGGAAACTACCCCTATGATTCAATTACCTCCACCTGGTCCTGCCCTTGACACATGGGGATTATGGAGATTACAATTCAAGGTGAGATTTTGGTAGGGACATGGAGCCAAACCATATCAGAGTCCATGTCTGCTTTACTTGCCATAAAATCCCAGTAGCAAGCTGAGAACATGAATACCTCATGTTCTCACTTACGTTTGTGAGATTTAGAACAATCAATCAAACTCAAGGAAGTAGACAGTAGAATGGTGGTTACCAGAGGCTGGGCTCAGGGGAGTAGAAGGGATGAGGAGATGATGGTAAAAGAAAACAAAGTCTCAATTAGACAACAAGAATAAGGGTTTTTTTTTTTCTTTTAGATATATTGCACAGCATGGTGAATATAGAAAATAACATATATTTCAAAATTGCTAAGAAAAAAACTTGTTTTTACTACAAAAAAAGTATTTGAGGTGACGGAAATGTTAATTAGCTTGAATTAATTATTTCCACATTGTATTCATAAGTTATAACATCACTTTGACCCCATAAAAACATAAAACTATGATTATCAATTTACAAGTTATAAACTTTTTTTTAACACTGAAGGCAGACCATGAAGGAGGAATGTATGGCACTCAATAACTCTTAAGGAGTTAGAGGATATGAATGATTCTATCTTTGTGTATATCATGTGTATTTATTTCCCCTGGTATTTATCATCAGCGGTTAAGAGCTTGGGGAAAAGCTGAAGTGTGTACAAATTAAGCAGTGCTTCAAGACAGAAGATTCTGAAAAGCAGCCCTTTTTGTTCATTTGTTTACCATCATAATATAAAAACTCTACTGCTCTTTTCCCCCACTGAATAGTAAGTATTGTATTACCAGGAATAATGGACAAATTAAGTATGGACAAAATATATGCTTATTTAGTGTCGTTAAGTGTTGTCTTCACTTTAAAATCTGCATGAAAACTGTAACATAAAGTCAATTGTTTGGATGTCTGGACTAAACTACTGCAGGATACTTATAATCATTTAGATGACTGAACATCTAAATGTTTAGACTATAAATAGCCACATTTACCCACATTTACTCTTATAACAACTCTTAATAGAATTTCATTTCTTTGTCAAATAATAATTTCATACATAATTTTCTTTTCTTTTCTTTTCTTTTTTTTTGAGATGGAGTCTCGCTCCGTTGCCCAGGCTGGAGTGCAGTGGCATGACCTTGGCTCACTGCAACCTCCGACTCCTGAATTCAAGCGATTCTCCTGCCTCAGCCTCCTGAGTAGCTGGGATTACAGGCACATGCCACCAGGCCCGGATGATTTTTTTGTATTTTTAGTAAAGACGGGGTTTCACCACGTTGGCCAGGCTGGTCTCAAACTCCTGACCTCAGGTGATCCATCAGCCTCAGTCTCCCAAAGTGCTTGGATTACAGGTGTAAGCCACTGCACCTGGCCCATATATGCTTTTTAAATTTCTTTTACCCACAGCACTACACAGGTAAAGACCCTGAAGCTGAAAATTATAAAGCTAATGAGGTTTGTCATGGAGAGTCTAACAAATCATCTACATGTAATATCTGCACTGTTTTACCTTATTCAGTTGCTTATGAGTGGATTTCTTATACCATCATCATCCATGGGGTATTGGTGTCAGCACCTCCCACAGATATGAAAATCCAAGGATGCCTAAGTCTCTTATATAAAATGACAAGGTGTTTGCATCCAACCCACACACATCCTCTCGTACAGCTTAAATCATCTCTAGATTACTTATAATACTTAACACAATTGCTGTGTAAAGTTGTTATATTGCATTTTTAAAATTTGTATTATTTTTGTTATATTTTTACTTTGTATTTTTTTCCAAATATTTTTGATCCATGATTGTTGAACTCATAGATGCAGAGCCCACAGATGTGGAGTGCTGAATGTTCTCCTTAAGTTTAAAATCTGAATTGCACATATACACACACACACATAGATGTCTACTTGTTGCTTTCTGAGCAGGAACACTTTTTTATTCACTTTTTTAAAAGTTCACAATTGAGGCATAGTGCTGAGTGCTTAACTACTTAATAAGAAGTGTTTTTCTCATGACTTGGTGTGTTTATTCAACAAACATTCATCCAAGTCTGAATCTCAACTATGTTTCAATAACTCACAAATACCTGTTTTCACCCAGGCTTCTTCCATGAATGAGTTGAACACTCATATCTACAATTGTACGTTAAACAGCATAATGTAAACATTTTACAGAATACTAACTGTAATGTGTTTTAAACCAAACTCATACTTTCCCTCTGAATTTGTCTAGTTCTCCTGTCTTCTCTACTGCAGTAGACAGCTTTCTATGCCGTGACCCTATGAGGCCTCTTCACCTTATCACATTTGTTAATTTGGTCATTTTGTTGTTTCTCAATCATATTTCATAGTTTTACTCCAATTATCAAGTTTTAAGTCATTTTCTATCATTTCTCACTTAAATATTCTGAAATTGGTATTTAGTTGCAATTTCTGTTGCCAGTCTTGTACTCTGAGTCCCTCATTGCTGCCTATTACTGGTTGATTAAAGGACACATTTAACCACATTATTCTCTCATAAACTACACCCATTGCCTTTAAGCCTTCTTTTCCTGCCTTTCTAGACTCCTCTCCATTCATTCCTCATGTACCCTGAACTGTAGTTATCTTCAATGACTATAGTTCTTGGTATATGCCACGTGTTCCCATCCATATGTGCCTTTGCTTAAGCTCTGCCTTCTCCACCCTCCTTTCCCAGCCTTCATATCATTGCATTCGCTGCTTGAATATATTTTTATTTTTCCTTAAGAGTCTTCTCAAATATCATCTTTTCTGTTACCAGTTTCCTGATCTTCCAAGGACATGTTATATCCTTTCCTATGTAGGAACGCTCACTGAATACTTATATTGTCTGGATTGACACTTGGTAATTTAGCATCTGAAGGATTTCCTCTTTTAATGTGTTTCACCATTGCAAGAGACGAGCCAGGAATTTATTTCCCCGACTCTCCTCCCTGTAATGGTTCTGGCTTTGAGTTGTTCCAGTAAGCGACACTCAAGAAATTTAGAAGGTAGAAGAGAAGGAATAGCCATTATTCTCTTAGCACAGGTACAGTTTGATGTGTGGGGCAGACATAAGATTCAGTGGCTTCCCACTGAGCTTCTGAGAACCACTCACTTTGCTTCTGCAGAGTTTTGATAGGAGTTTCTCAGAGAGTCCTGAGAATTATAGCAGCTTTGCTGTGAAATTTTGAGAATGACCTGCTTCAGTGCTTCAAGGTGAGGTCTTTAGTGACATTTATACAGTTTCCCTTTGATGACTTGATTCTGTGTCAGCTAATCTGGAACTATGTTTCACAGAATTTTCTCTCTTATTTGCTTCTGGGATGAGATTGACCTCGAGAAATTCAGGGAGACTTGTAGGTGAAAGTGAAGCAGCTTCCACAGTAATGGATACTATATCAATGTTGGTTTAGGCACTGTTTAAACTTGCATTGTGATGGATCCTTCTTTCTACTTTGTGGGCATGAAGCAGAGCACAGTCTATACCTCCTCCATCTTCTTCAGTATCTCCTTCTTTAGCTTTTCTGACTCCCAAGACAGATGCACGTTTAGGTGACCACCTTTGATTTCAGGTTGGTCATATCACAGAAGGTGAGGTTAGACATCATGAGATGCTCAAATGTGTTTCAGCTCATTCTCATAGGTTACAGTTTGTCCTCATGGATTTTAATTTGTCCTTGCTTTCTTCCACTCCGCATTTACCTTTCCTTCTTCACTGTCTGCCTTTCTGACTTCAGGCTAGCACCTGACAGAGAAACAATAGTTGGACATAAACTTGTTAACCAATTCCCACACTGTGTAAGGCCAAAATCCTATAATAGGGATATTAAATTCCATATCATTTCTAGTGATTCTGCTTCTTTGACCAAACCTGACTCATGAATTCCCTGATCTTCATTGGAGATGTCTTTCACATCAATCCTCTCAGCTCTTCCAGCAGTCACACATGCCCAGAATTCCTGGAATCCATGGAATGCCTGTCTTTTGACTTTTGTTTTTCTCTAAGTAGGATTAACATATTAGGTTCATGAATATATGAATTAGTGGATCCTTGAGCCTCTATGAGATTAGAATTTTGGTCACATGCAATTCAAAAGGACTTGACTAATCCAAATACTTTCTGGTTATACTCCTGTGTTGTCAAAATTGGAGCTAAAACTTGTTTACATTTGTATCTTTAGTGTCTAATGTAATGCAGTAAACATGCTTTAAAAATGAAATAATAAACTGCTAGCCTATAAACAACAAAAAACAATTGCTCATAATGAATAGAGAACATTTTTTTAAAAAACAAAGCTCTTTCTGCTCACAAAAAAATGTTAGAGTCTGAGGAGAACAAGTCCACAGATTGAAGAGGGCACACTAATTACAATTAGTTAAACATACACAATTAGGTAAAAAATATTGTATGACACCTATCAAACCTGCTACAGGGGAGATAACAGAATTAGGTTTGGATAAAAGTAGAAACAATAAACATTACAAATTATATGAAAATAGAATCGTGTTATCCAAATTTGGCAAACCTCCAATGAATAACTAGCTCAACCTATGTCCATGTGGAATTCTAGTGTTCATTTTATTGAATTTTAAAGATGAAGTAAAAATCAATAGAGACAGAATCTGGTAGATTATAAATAAAGAGAAACAACTCTAATGCACTAGTAAGTAATGTAGAGGTTAAGTGAAAAAATATTGGGTTGACACAGGAGAGGTACAAAGATTACACCCAAATCCATCTTAAATGTATATGTCTAATTCATTTTCTATTTGGACTCAAATCCCTCCTCATAAGTCAGTCCCTTCCCCTCTTCCATCCTCTCCACTTCATTGGTTCTACAGCTCTGTTTGTACCTGTGCTGACCACAGTTATTCACAGCTACTCAGGCTATGCATGTCACATCCACACTCCAAATACTAGTTATTAGGAAGCAGCAGAGTGAGTAAAAACGGAGCTTACCCCTCAGGGCTTCCCCCAAGCTGGTTATCAAATTAATCATCTCAGCAAAGCAAGTATTTACCTCAAAGCATTACATATATTGCCATTTCTGTTAAACTGCATGAATTATGGAAAAAATAGGACATAATTAGAATATATTCTACTTGGGTCAATAAACTACATCAATTTTAGTCCATTATCAACTCATAATTTTGATCAGATAGATCAAATGGATGAGGAAGATTAACGTTCTTATCTGATCCTCAGCTATATTGCAGCGGGATAATTAAGGAATCAGAGAGACCGAGCACCGACCCAGTTGGATTAACATACAAAGAACTGAGCCCCGAACAAAGAGTCAAGCTACCTTTTAAGCATTTTGTGGGGCAGGGGGAGATTTGTGCAGGGGGAAGCGTATTACAGAAGCGAGAAACAAAGACAGTTATTCAATGAAGACATGCATTACGTTCTTTCTTACTTTTCCAGGAACAGCATGTTTTATATCTTGAGATTCTCTGTCTAGTGACCTTGCAGCTGCACAGCTAGAGAGAGATGAGGCTCACTAGCCACAGAAAAACAGGCAGTCAATTTTTAAAGGACTTCAGCTCTTTCTCTTCCTCAGGGGAACTGGTTTTTCTTACATACAACTGAGTTTTTGCTTACACATTAATTTCTTTTAATTCCTGTTCCAATATAATATTTTATTTATTTATTTATTTATTTATTTATTTATTTATTTATTTATTTATTTTTGAGACAGAGTCCCACTCTGTCACCCAGGCTGGAGTGCAGTGGCACCATCTCGGCTCACTGCAATCTCCGCCTCCCGGCTTCAAGCAATTCTCCTGCCTCAGCCTCAGTACCCATTTTCAGAGATCACAGCACATATACACACAAATCAGACATATGTGACATTTCCTTCTCTTGTTAATATGCATGCTAATTAATATGAAAAGAGGAAACAACTCATCTCATACCCAAAGGTTATTTGTGTATATATAATTATATAAATGATTCCATTAGAAATCAGTAATATAATCCACTCAATTCCCCAAATTATGAATTTGTTCCAAGAACCCACAATTGTTGATATTTTATATACAACACAAAATAGCTACAATAGAGAAGAAACATTTAAACAAGTGTGCCATTTCCTTAGGAACCATTTAGTTGTAATTATTCCTCTAAAGTTTATAGCCATTTATCTGCTACCACAGCAGCCTGAAAACCAAGTGAGAATGTTCAATATTCTGTCCATATTTTTGCATCCTGAAGGGAATATATGCAAATCTAACTGATTTTTTCTGATTCCATTGAGATATTTAATGCATAAAAACATATAATTTATGTGTATGTATTTTCTTAGATGTGTACATAAAGTCCCATGAGAAAGTTTCGATAAGTTTAGTTGCAGCAAATATTTATTCCTTAGACTTTAGTCATCACTATTTAAAATACATAAGACTTTACAAGTTAAACTTTAACAATAATCTATATTTCATTCCCTATAACATATTCACTAAACCTCATGTTTAGTAACCCAACTTTTTCTCCCCAATGTACACATAGTCTTGTTGATTTTTAAACCAATTCTCTTGGAAGAGTGTGCTGATTTTAGCTTTTGTCATGAAACTACTTTGTCTTCTCAAGCGCTGTGGTTATTGTTCTCAAGCCATTCTCAGCCATGTGACAATGTTATAGTTTATTTTTGTCTTGATACGATAAAATCAGCATCATGTCACTGGACGCTATGCCATTTCAACAGAGTACATTAGTTTGATGGCTTAAATAAGGAACAAAACCTCAATCATTTATTATTTAACATTCTAAAGCTTTAAGCTTGCTAAATTTTAAAGCAAGTTTTGTAGAGACTTCTAGCACAAGCTCAATGAATTTGACAGGTGTTAGCTCATGATAGCCAATCAACTTTGTGTTTACAGATGGGAAAATTATATCTAGCTCCATAAATCTATCACAGTCACTCTCCTTAAAGCACTCCTACTATATTTTTTCTTTTCCTTCTCCTAAACCAAACACCTTTCTAATCCTATTTTTTGTTTAGTGACAATAGATTACATTCTCATAGTCCTATTCAACAGTGTTAATTTCTCCCCCAGGGTTTATGCTTATGCTATTTTTCCCGCCACTCTATATTAGAATATATTTTACTCTCCTCTTAAAGTTCACATGTCTTTCAATACTGAGGTTCAAACTCATTTGCCTTAAAAATGTGGCTCTGCTAGAAAGAAACATACAAGTCATGTTGCCTTAGAAAAGAGAAAAAAAATGTTCCCATTAGTTAAGCCTATGTATGCATACTTTCTTCCACATTCGGCTACTACTAAGTATATAGGACTATAGTTAATGATAGCAAGCAGCTTGCAATAGGTGCTATTTATATGGTTGCTGGAAACTGAGATTTGTCTTTTTACTCAAGTATATTGATTTCTTCTTGGATTGTCTTTTTATGTACAATATTATATGGGTGGTGAAACTGGTTTTTAAATTATTTTCACTGGCATTTTATTTAAATGATAACATAATCAATTACCTTCCTTTCCTCCAGGAAACTGAATGCACCATAATCAAGGGTAGCTAGACCTATAAATATGGAACATGTTGACCTAGCCTGCATCTGTTTAAAGCATATTATACAATTGTTTGTATGCCTTTTTCTACATTTTTTAAATGAAGAACAAGAATATAGATTTAGCAACCACATAAAGGATGAGTTATATTAAATTTATGTATAAATATTAAAATATGCTGTTAAATGTCACTTAAATTTTAAAATGTGAAGTTAAAATTAACTGAAAAGGAAATAAAGATCTTAGGTATTGTGAATGTGGAAACCTCTCTAGTCACTTTTATCAAATTCTTCCTCTTTTTTCTTTTACTGAAAATACCAAGAATAATACCTACCACAAGGTAGCTACTTCTCTACAATAATTTTACATCATTTCCATCTATTGTTGCCTATTTCACCCTTAAAGTCTGAAATGAGTTGCAGCTGTTGGATTAATAGTGATGGGGGTGGGTGGGTTCTGTTCCCTCTTTCCTCTATTGTTTCATCATAGCATGAGCTACCTTTATCAGTATTTATTTACCTAAATATTCTTGTCTTCTGTCTCTACAAATGATCACTATTCTTTGTCTTTTTGTGTTCATGTTGTACAATTTTGTCCTTTCTATGCTTTCATATCTAATCTTAATCAAATGTGACTTTCCCTCTTAATTTATTTCCTTTATTCCTCTTATTTCCCTTTTGCATAGTACATAGAAAAAAAAGTGTCTAGGCTATGAGTCTCATGTTAATAAATGAGTGAAAGATTTGGGATGGTGATTAAAATTAAAGGAGAAATATGGTCATGTGGGGTTCTGTGAGTCATTTCTAGTGAAACACATGTTATAAATAATGTGTATATGTTACATATAATGTATTTGTATATGTTATATAAAGCATGTGTGCATGTGTATATATTATATAAAACATATAAACTCTCCTGTGGGGAAAGATATATATATCTGGCATTTTATTAAACAATGTATATATATATGCATATACATATACATACATATACATATGTATATATACATATACATACATATACATATGTATATATACATATACATACATATACATATGTATATATACATATACATACATATACATATGTATATATACATATACATACATATACATATACATACATATACATATGTATATATACATATACATACATATACATATACATACATATACATATGTATATATACATATACATACATATACATACATATACATATACATATGTATATATACATATACATACATATACATATACATATGTATATATACATATACATATACACATATACATACATATGTGCACATATGTATGTATATGTGTGTGTAGGTAGGTAGGTAGATAGATAGATCTCCCTACAGAAGACCTTATTTCTTCAAAGTAGCTTGAACAACAGTGTGTGAACAGTGCTTATGGTAAGAAAATCTATAGAGAAATGAAGAGAAAAGTAGTCAACATTTGTTTCTTTTATTTATCAGGTACTTTCCAAGAAACTAGAGGATACAGATATATACAATGTAAGATTCTACAACTCAAAATCTATGCTTACTTTTATTCTGTCACCAATACTTTATTTATACAACATCACTCTAATAACCCTAGGTATTTTCTTTCTCAGCTTCTCTCTCTATATATTGATCTCTCTTTTCAGCTCTCTCTTAATATACACCTTGACTCATGTTATTTATACACACACACACACACACACACACACACACACACCATTAATCATACATTCTCTTAAACTCTTGCTACCAAAACTCATTTCGATCCATAATAATCCTCTTTCTCATTTCTCCTCTTCAGTTAAGTAAATAAGCTTGTCGTTCTCTTATCTATAGATGTCTCTATGTGATTTGGCTCCTATACCCTATCATCTTTTTAAAAACTTGGTAATATCAATTATGCTTGCTTTCTTAATATTTAACATTTCTTAAAAAACATATTAAAATTACCATAAAAACATCATGCTCTCTGATATTAAATTTTAAAAAGTCTAAACTTCCCTGGACCTCATATTCCTCTAAAATTCTCTCTCTTTCACAGCCAAGCTATTATAAGGGTTATTAATGCCTGTCATCCCCACTTCCTCATTTGAAAGACTCTCCTCACTCCACTCCTATCTGGCTTCTGCCCTATGTCTCATTCCAAATATCTCCTATTCAGAACTCAATGCCTTCACTGTCCTTGAAGCCAATGATTATTTTTTACCCCCCATAGGACCTCTACCCTAAATCTCTTCTTTGAGATTCAGAAGCATACTCTCAGAGGCTTACTTGATATTTTCTTTTAAATATCTAAGACAACTCTTTAATATTATGTCCAAAAAGAAACTCATAATCTTTCTGCTCCAAATCTTCCTGCTCCTAGAAGAGATACAAATGAATAAGCTTGGGTATTCAAGGAGTAGACAGTCCAGTGTTGGAAAGCAACAAGAAAATAAATGCCAAATTACTATGTAATATGTGCTATTATAATGATGATCAGGACAGAAATATATACATAATTCAAAAGAGAAAAAAATGCCACAACTATAATAAAACTAAGATGACAATTTTTTTTATACCTAGAAGATTGACAACAATTCAGCAGTGTGACTGTATCAATCATTAAGTGTTACGAGAATTTAGAGGAAAATACCAAAAGCAGGATACTTAATAAATGATACAGGAATAGTGATTTTAGGACGTACTGACAAGAAAAGACAGCACTTTAACTAAGTTTTGCTTAATAAAGCAGGTCTAATTGACATGATTAAGAAGGGAGAATAAATATTATTAGGAAAGGCAAAGGGACATAAAAGGGATACATGGAAGTGTTCAGAAAAATAGAAAGTGGAAGAGACTAAAAGAAAAACCACAAAGGCATAAAAAAAATTTAATTTCAGTCCTGCTCAAGAAATTGAAGAGGTATTATTTCATTTAACATTGCATTACATATAATCTGAGTTAGAAAAATAACGCAATTTTATTCAACTTGATTCCCACCACACTTCAAATTCAGTTCATGCTTGTTTGCACATTTTGTTAGATATTCAACACATTCAAGAGATCCAAATGATAGGTAATTTTTTTTCTATATTTTTATGTTTATAAGTCCAAAGTTAAATTTATTTAATTTTTCATAATTTGAATTATGGTAGCCCTCTGACCATACTGGTCTGAAAGGAAGGATTTTTACTTTCTGTTTAATTCACAGTTTATGATTTTTTTCTAATTTCTAATTCACACAAACTATTATTTTCTTTCCTTTAAATATCTGAAGTCAGGAAGTGAGAAAAAGAATAAAAATGAGACATGATTGGCTATGGGTTGGTAGCTGTTGAAGTTAGGTGATATATGCATGGAAGTTCATTATCCTATTCTGTCTCCTATTAAACATGTTTGAAATTCACCATAATAAAATATTAAAAAAAATAGACAAATCTCAGGCTCGGTAGTCAGACAGATATAGTTGAATTCTAACCCTTTCATCTTAGCTCTTTCAAAGTGTGGCTCTTTCATTTGTGCTTTCCAAGTCTCTAATGCAGACCTATCATTGAAGTTTCACTTCCAGAAGGCAAGTCAGGAATCGCTATTACTGCCTAGTTAAGTCTACCACAAGAAGCTTGTGTTGGCATTGATGACATTGGCAAATTGATCAGAGTTCTGATCCTCAGACTCAAAGGTTTAGAAATCTAATCTTATTTTTCCTTGTAAAAGTGATATGTCTTTCAGGGAAAAAGTTATATTACACAAGCCACATATTCTTCCCTTGTAGGTGGCTTTAAGTTAAAAGCCCAATCATTATTACTGTTATTATTTTCAACCATGTGTAGAGTTCTTGCTATGTGTCAGACACTCTTCTAAGCACTTTATAAATATTATCCCATTTGTCCTTGTAACAATATCTTTATAGATGAGGAATAGCTGAAACAGAGATGTCAGATTACTTTCTGAAATTCATATGTCTCAGAGTACAAGAGCTTGGATTTTGAATCCAGCCAATCTGGATTTAAATCTGTGCTCTTAACCATGTAACATTTGGTATTCATCAAGAAAGAACTAAATGGGTCAACACAATTACAATAAGAGTTCTCAATCTCTTGTTGAAGATGCCCAGAACAATAACACTCAAAATTTAACAGCAGTAGGTTCTATCCTGTCTGCAAAAGATGAGATGAATGCTTCTGAAAGAAGCCTCTCTGACATTTGTCTGTTTCTCAGAAGCTGCCCAACTCTTACTGTGATCTATGTATTATTAAAAGACACTTCAGTGTCTTCATTCTAAACTTTCTCTGACTCAGGGGCCATTTTACTTTTTGATGACAAATTTTTGTAGCTTTGAATTTGTCTCTTAGTTTGTGTTTTATAGGAAATTTCAAGTTACTATAATTCCTAATTTCAACTAAAAACACTGAGGTCCAAATAGGTTAAATAACTCACTTTGTGGCAAAGCTGGTAGAGCTAATGATTCAGTTCCTAATGGAGAGCAATTTATGTGTTTTTGCTAAATTAAACAGAATGTCAATGTGAAATAAGGCGGTATAGGAGAAGTTTTTAGAGATACCACACTTCACCAACTTTTAAACTTATACCAGATATGTTGTGTTTTTTTTTTTCCTGTCAGTATTGAACAGTCATTTCCAATTCAATTTTGTTTATGTAAGTCATGACCCTGATTGAATTCAATTGTATTAAATGGAATTTTGAAAGATTGTCCTTTTCTCAGTGTGCCTTCTTGAGGTCTTTGTTGAAAATCACTTGGCTGTAAATACATAGATTTATTTCTCAGTTGTCTATTCTGTTACGTTAGTCTATATGCCTGTTTTTATGCAAGTAACATCCTGTTTTGGTTGCTATAGTTTTGTAGAATATTTTAGAGTGAGGTAGTGTGATACCTCCAGGTTTGCTATTATTGCACAAGATTTTTTTTTAACTATCCATTTTCTTTTTCCTTTCCATATACATTTTAGAATTTTTTTCTATCTCTGAAAAATGTAATTGGCATTTTGATGGAAATTGCATTGCATCTGTAGATTGTTTTGAGTAATACAGACATTTTCATATTAATTTTTCTAATTTGTGAACAGGTTATCTCTTTTCATTTATTTGTGTCCTCTTCAATTTCCTTCATTATTACTTTATAGTTTTCATTATAGAAACCTGTTATGTTCTTAGTTAAGTTTATTCCTAGGTATACATTCTTTGTAGCTATTATAAATGAAATTGCTTTCTTGATTTCTTTTTTATATAATTCACTATTGGTGTGTAGAAATGTTACTGATTTAACATGTTGGTTTTGTATCCTGCAACTTAACTAAATATGTTAATTCTAATAGTTTTTTTTTTGCTGAAATTTTTAGGGTGTTCTATATGTACAATCGTGTCATAGGCAAACAGGGACAACTTCCTCCTTTACAATTTCTATGCACTCTTTTTCTTTATTTTGCCAGTTTACTCTGGTTAAGGCTTCTAGTACTGTGTTGAATAAAGGTAATGAAAATGGGCATCATTGCCCTGTACTAGAACTCAGATAAAAATTTTTCTCTGAATTTTACCCATTCAGTGAGCTGTGGCTTGTCATATATAGCCTTTATTGTGCTGACATGTTCCTTCTATACCCACTTTGTTGAGGGTTTTTATCATAAAGAGATATGAAATATTATCAAATGTGTTTCCAGCATCCATTGAAATAATCATTTAATTTTTTACCTTGATTCTGTTAATGTAGTAAATGGCATTGGGAAAACTGGATATCCACATGCAGAAAAATAAAACTAGATCCCTATATCTCATTATATAAAAAATCAACTTTAAATAGACCAACAACTTAAATGTAAGACTAAAAAGTATAAAATGATTAAAAAAAATCAGAGGAAATTCTTCACGAATTGGAGTGAGTGAAGAATTTTTGAGTAAGACTCAAAGAACAGACAACCAAAGCAAAAATAGACAAATGAGATTATATCAAACAGAAAAGTTTCTGCACAGCAAAGAAACAATAAAGTGAAGAGACAACCTACAGAATGGGAGAAAGTATTTGCAAATTATGCATCTGACAAGTAGCTAATGTCCAGAAGATATAAGGAACTCAACTCAATAGCATACAAACAACAATAACAAAAAAAATCCAATTTATAAATGGGCCAAGGACCCAAACTGACTTTTCTCAAAAGAAGACATACAAATAGCCAACAGGTATATGAAAAAATGTTCATCACCACTAATCATTGGAGAAATGCAAATAAAAACTAAAATGAGATATCACCTAACCCTCATTAGAATAGCTGTTATCAAAAAGACAAAAATGTGACAAATGCTGATGAGGATGTGGAGAAAAGGGACTTTTATACACTGTTGGTGGGAATGTAAATTAGTACAACCATTGTGGAAACCAGTGTAGTTTCTTCAAAAAATTAAAAATAGAACTACCATATGATCCAGCAATCCCATAACTGGGTATCTATCCAAAAGAAAAGCAATAAGTAGCAAAGACATGTGCATGCCCATGTTTATTGCAGAGCTGGTCACAAAAGCCAAGGTACAGAATCAACCTAAATGCCCATCCAATGAAGAATGGGTAAAGAAAATATGGCTATATACATAATGGAATACTATGTAGCCATAAAACAGAATAAAATTCTATCATTTGTAGCAACATGAATGAACCTGGAGAACGTTATGTTAAGTGAAATAAGCCAGACACAAAAAGAAAAATACCATATGATCTCATTCATACGTGAAATCTAAAAAAAGTTTATTTCATGGAAGTAGAGTGTGTAGAATATTGGTTACCAGAGACTGGGGATATGAGGGAGAATAAGGGGAATGGGAGAAGTTGGTCAATGGGTACAAAGTTGCAGATAGTAGGAATACGCTTTAGTGTTCTTTACACACTAGGATGACTGTAGCAAGTAACAACGTGTAGTTAAAGATCACTGGAAGAGATTTTGAATGTTGTCACTACAAATAAATAATGCTAAAAGTGATGTATATGATGGTTACCCTGATTTAATCATTACACTGTACATACAGTGAGACATTACATTACATATCAGAAATATGCACAATTATTATGTGTCAATTATAAGTAAAAAATAAATTTAAAATGAAATATCAGCAGACCTCTAGGATTTGCTATTTTCTCAATGACAAAATATTTACCTTTGAATTTTCAACCAACATCCAGGCATTGTCTCTATAATGTCTTCTATTATATTTCTATTTTGCTTCAGTCTGTATATTTGTTCAAAATTCAGGAGTCTTTGAACCCAATATTAATAATCTACAGGGATAAAATAAATATTCTGAAGGGCATGAATCTAGTTTCTCTATATTACACAGAGATATTTTGCAACAACATTTTACTGGAGTTTGTTTTAAACAGTATTTTATTTTGCATTTGTAAGAGTTTTGCTATAAATTAAACTCATAGTCAACTCAAATGTTAAGAAAATAATCAATTATGTAACTTCATTAACAAAATCATCAATCTGCTCAAATACAAACAAGTTGTTCTGATACTCAATATTCTCTTATGTTAAAATGTTAAATTTTAGACTCTTCATACAATTTCAGTCACTTCAGTAGATATGTTTGTATTTCAGGTATTAAGGAGTAATATGTAATTTATGAGAGAGAGTGTGTGTGTATTAACTGCCACTCCATCATAAAGTATTCTCTCACTGTTGATTTAGCTCTATTGATAAATAAATTATAAGGAAAGGCATTATCTCTTTTTATATTCCACGTTGAAATGCAAATTGGCTTTTTCTTCTAAATAATTATCAATTTTGGTAAATATAAATATACTAAAAACTGAGACAGGACAAAATATTCAGTATTTTAAAATTATTTTGAAGTCATACTATTGCTATAATCAGAAACTATATTTTAGTTTCATTTTTAAATAAAATATAAACTTTTCTGAATTACTTTCAGGAGATGCTAGCAAAATTTTTTTCTGTGTTATAAAAGCTGTTATATTAATATAATCATAATAAATTTTAGCATATATTAATACTAATACTTCTAAGTATGATAATATGAGAATATAATTGAGACAAATACAAAATCTATAATGTAAAAAAGCAAAAATTGTAATTGAATATTAATGATCAATAACAATTACATCCTAAGCAATATTTTTACAAAAGTAGCAGTGATTGATAGAAAACATTCAGATTGGCACAAATAAAATAAAATATTTTTGAATCAGTAGAAACTTCTTTATTTTATGCAGTTTACTCTGAGAAGTATCTTGTGGAATAATGCAAGAAGGCATCTTTCCTTAGAAGTTTGAAAGAAGGACACTCAGTAATTTGAGTGACCTATTCTTGTTATATTTCCCTTCACCATCTGCTGTCTTTCATTTTTATTTATTTATTTACTTATTTATTTTTGAGACAGAGTCTTGCTCTGTCGCCCAGGCTGGAGTGCAGTGGCACTATCTTGGCTCACTGCAAACTCTGCCTCTCTGGTTCAACCCATTCTCTTGCCTCAGCCTCCCGAGTAGCTGGGATCATAGGTGTGTTCCACCATGCTTGACTAATCTTTGTATTTTTAGTAGAGACAGGGTTTTGCCATGTTGGCCATGCTGGTCTTGAACTCCTGACCTCAGGTGATCCTCCCACCTCGGCCTCCCAAAGTGCTAGGATTACAGGCATGAGCCACTATGCCCGGCCTTGTCTTTTAGTTATAAACTTTAAGGTGAGAATATTTCACAGTAATAAGAGAGAAAGGGAAGATGCAAATTCCCATTATGAATACATATGTGCTTGTAAGCCTGCATCTATCATGTTTCATCCATAAATATCTTTGCAATCCTCAAAAATCATTTGTATTTACTATACATTCTGCCTTGATTTATTACATTTCTACTCTTTGAGTGCCCTCACAAAAATATGGACTCATAGTTTATACCAGTAAAAGATAATATTTAAAATATGCAACACATGTTCATTGTCAAAACTACAGAAAAGTAAGAATATATTTAGTTTCACATTTCACAAATAGCTATTATTATTTTTCCAACTGTGTGTATGTGTTTTGCGGGCTGGGGTAAGGTGGCTATGTCTGTGTATGTGAAGAGAAAGTTGAGTTTACTTGAACAGTGCTTAACTGTACTCGCCTCTACGTTTTATTGGGGGAGATGTATTGACAAATGCTTCAGACAATTATTGAAGAATAAAAGTAGATTTTCTACACGGATATTAGTTTGGCATTGCAGTGGGCAAAAAGGTGTTCAGTAAGTCAATCAATGGAAGTGGGAAAAGTAATTCTAACTTGTGAGGAATTCAGATGAAGCTAAATGACAGTGAGAATCCAAATGAATGGAAGGAATGAAGTGAAGGAATAAAAGGCAGTATACAATTATCAAAGCCATAAATTTTCTAAGCTTAAAAATAGAAACATTAAAATATTTCATCTATCCCTGTCAGACCATCAAGATTCGTTCCTCTAGGCCATATAAGAATTTCTGTTTGGTAGATGTTTTTGGATATTATTGTCCATCTGTTGAAGCATCTGTAATACTGACACCTAAATACCTTTTACCCCAAAACTTCTTTAAATTAAATCTGTGATTTCAGTGTTTTCTGAGTGCCATTACTAAGACAGCCTAGAATTCTTATATGTGTGTATATATATGTTATGTGTGTATATATGTACACATATATGTTATATGTATACATACAGACACATTTTAGCTATAAAAATATGGAAATAATACTTATATAAATGCTAGCTTTGGTAAACTTGTGTTATCTTTTGATTTATATTCTATTGCCTAAGATGGAATTCTCCCAAGCCTCTTTATGCCAAGAATTTTACCTGCAATATCTTATCTATGTCCAAACATAATCCTGTCAATTACATGTTGTTATTCTCATTTTGCAGATCAGAGAGGTTAGGTAATTGTCTGAATCCACACAGTGAACAAGTAGCAGAAATAGAATTAAAAAAAACTATTTCTGTCTTCTTTTAGAATGTTGGGCTTAATACTCAGACATGTCTCTATTGAGAATTCCAAACTCCAGAGTATTCATTAGTGTTTATAATTTGAATCCTATGTGTCCTAAGCTTGACTGAATCATTCCCATCACATAAGTAATGAAAAACTTCTCTTTCTGCATTTGGTTGGAGATGTATGACAAGCACTGCAGAACCGTGCTTGAAACAAAAATAAATATACATTTTTATATTTCACAAAATCACTCTGTTCCCCTTATTCACTATTTTTTGTTCATTTGTTTCCATACACAAATAGAACAACCTAATACATTACTGCAGCACCGAAATGTAGAATATAAATTGCAGAGATTTTTACATTTTTGTCTGTCTTTCTTGTTACTCTATCAGAATCAGAGAGGGCTATGTTGAATTTCAAACTTGTTAGACCCAAGGTAAAAAAAAACAAAAAAGTGGCTTTCCTCCCCAAAAAATGTGTTTCTGAAAAAATAATTATAACTATTTCTATAATCAGAAACTATATTTTCTGATTATCCAGTACAATTAGTACAAATACAAATCTATAAGCATCACGTGAAATGCCCAATAGAAATTTTTTATATAAAGAAAGAAGTGGCATATAAGGGGCAAATTATTCTATAAAGATTTACCAATCATTTTTAAGCTTGGATTTATGTTTGAAGAGACTTTCATTAAAATATTGCAAACTGGTTTTGGCCAATTGTAATGTGAGCATCCTTTAGAAGGAGTGATAACGATTTTGGGGCTAGAAAGCTAAATGAACACATGAGCCTTCCTTCCTTTTCCCAATATTACATATTTTGCCTCTGAGGCATGACATTTTTGCCCTTCTTCATATAAATTAAATGTAAGTTACTTTGCAAATAAGGTATTGTGGCTTATTTTCACAAAAATAAAATGACCTATGCTATATCTGTTCAACGTATTCTATCTACAATACCCTCCAGTGGTCTCTCATTTGTATTGTGATAAAATCCACTGGAGGATTTTATCATCTAGTGATATGACCAGATGTTTATTTTGTCAAATATAGCTCCTTATTATTTAAATAGTAACATTTTAATATTCAGATTTCAAGTTACGTATTGTTGTCCCAATGAAAATTTCCCTTAACTCTTAGTCATGAGCCCATTATATACACTCACATAATACTATTTATTTTTCCCTTATGACACATTACATTATTTATAATTATAAATATATTTTTAGATTGTTTGATTAATGCCTTCATTAACTTAGTTTCACAAAGACAGAGACCTTGTCTAATTGTTTTCTCCATTGAATTTCTGAAGGTCTGCCATGGAATATATTAAGTAGTTAATAAATTATGTATTTAAAAAGCACACTGACAGGTGTGTGAACATAGAGATTCACCACAAAGTTAACATTAGACATCCTATGTAGTGTGAGTATAAATTATTTGATTTAATCTTAATTTTACATTTTCTAATATATATTAATTTTATAATGACAGTATTTTAAAAGGAAAGAAGTATAAATCTTTATATCAGTTAGCACCACATAGACAAAATTCCAGTTGCAATTCCTTGTTTAGGATATCACTTCTGCTTTCTTGTTTTTAAGATACAATTTCATTCCCTTGGAATGTGCTCCATCTATAAATTGATGTTTTTTAATCAAAATTTATTTCTTGTCTTAAAAGCAAGACATTTATAATTTGTCTTCTTTATTGATGACTTGATTATAGTTATTTCACAAAAGCTGCATCCATCCATTTATATTGGTTTATTTAAGACCTATAATGTTATTCAACTGGGTTCTAGAGCCATAAAGGTGATAAAGACTTATTTCTTGCCGTAGATAAGTGTTTAGAAAAGAAGTAATTGTAAAAGTCACATTGAAGTAACTGCTTATAGAGCCTAATATTTGGTGTGATTTGAAGCCTGAGGCAAAAGTTGTGAGCTATTCTAATGAGTATGTAAGGTATGGGATTAGTCCAATCAGCTTCCAGAAAGATTTAAAATTGAGCAGAGCCCTGGAGGAAGAGTAACCACTCATCAAGAATGAAGTGAGAGAAGAATGGTTCCTGGCAAAGGAAACAGCACAGGCAGTGAAGTGGGGATGTGAAAGTGAATGCTGTCTTCCGGGAATAGTAACAAGGAAGGCATGGCCAGTCTATATGGCATTCAGGGGAAGTGTTAGGAGACAAAACTATGAAGAGTATTAGGAGCTAGATAATGAAGCAAATCTTAGGCCTTGCTAAGAAACTTAGCTGGCTAAGAAACAAGACATTTTACTGTGTTAGAAAGCAGAATGGATTCCAAATATTGAAACCATGAACTTCTCTAGGTGGTTACGTCAATAATATAATGGTATTATAAAGATATAGAATAAAGTCGTCATCTTTAGGGCCCGTTATTCTCTCTGAGTCATTAATTTTGATGTAAAAACAAAAATTCAGTAGTAAAAACTGCTTTAGTAGCAATGATAATATGAATAGACATTTTCCATATCATTCCTTGTGGAAAAATAGATGACTTTTAATTTCCCCTTTTTAATAATATGTCCATATTAATGCATGTTAGCCTATGTTGTCTCTCAGAAAATAAATTTGGATGTTTATTCAATGAACTTTCTAATAAAAAACTTCAGATATGGTGGGTAATATTTTACTATTTATTTTCTGTTTCTTATTTGTGGGCATTTAATATTAGAGAACCTTGGAATCAGAGAAACAATGATTTGAATTCCAGCTCTGGAGCCCATATTTTGTACTGTCTGTGTAATGTCCATTACTCTGAATTCCTCTCAGTCTCCATTCCCACCTCAGTAAAATGGCAATAATAATATTTGCATGGCAACATGGAATATTGCTTCAGTAAATGTATTTCATGAGTCATCAGTCTTGTTCTCTTGATCAACCTTTATGCATACCTTGGCCTACAAAGAGTTGAGATGTAGACTATGTCTCTGGAGTGAGCAGGCCTCTGGGTTACTCAGAAACTGAACCATACCTTTGAAGCACCATGTACTCTATCAGTGTTTATTTGATTTGCATAAGTTCAGAACACTTTTAAGGGAAATAAAACAAATATTGCCTTGAATTATTTTTATATTAGTTGAACATACAAATGTAAACTTCTCATTATAACCTTTATACAACTAAAAATACAAGTAAAATTCTTAAATTTTAAATCACAAAGGATAATTCAATATAACTGATGGTACTGAAATTTCTGCCTAAAAGGAGCTCCATAAAATATTTTATAAATACATACAAGAACATCAAATTGACTGCTGATATTCAGATTTTGTTGTGTTTGGCATTCCTGAACAATCATTGGCCACCAAGTTACAGTTCAATTTTCCCACTATTTTTCTCCCTACAATCCTATAGTTAAATATTTTTACAGTGCGCCTACATGTTGTTTTGCATTAAACCAACTTAAGTATATTATATCTACATTAAATCTGTCTCTATTTATTTTTATTAGTCAGTGATGAAGTAATACTTTATGCATCAATATAACCTGAAATATAAGTGTAAATACCAATATTGGAAATTGCCTAGAAGTGCTTATCAATATAGGTGATAGCCTAATAATTGCATTATGCTTTTATTAATATTCCATTTTAGTATAACAGTATACAATTAAACATATGGATTATCCATGGACACTAAAAATATTTCAGACAGTCATGAAGGTTGCAGAGAAATCCAGCGTAAGAAAGAGTGGTCTAAAATAACTAAGGTAGTATGACACTTAGGAATGAAAGGATTTTTAAGCAATATTTGATAGCTTCAAATAGTATTTTGCTCTTAACAGCATCTTCATATTTTTAAATTTTTTATTTCAATTTTTATTATGCATTATTTTTTAGATAGAGTCTCGTTCTTTCACCCAGACTGGAGTGCAATTTTTAAAATTTTAACTGATACATAACAGATGCACATATTTTGAGGGTAATTTGATACATTCACATAATGTGTAATGATCAAATTAGCTTAATCAGGATATTCATCACCTTAAATATTTCTGTTTATGCTAGGAACACTTAAATTAGTCTCTTCTAGCTATTTTGAAAAATACAGTAGATTAATGCTAACTATAGTCGCCCTACTGAACTATTGAATACTGGGTCTTATATCTTCTAACTGTATATTTGCACCCATTAATCAAACGCCCTTCATCTTTGCCTACCTCTTTTGGCCTCTGGTAACTACAAATCTGCTACCTTCATGGGCTCCACCATTTTACCTCCCACTTATGGATGAGGACATGCAATATTTTTCTTTGCTTGGCTTATTTTACCTAATTTCAGTTCTATTCATGTTGCTGTAAATGACAGGATTTTATTATTTTTATGTTGAATTATATATCATTGTGTAGTATATATCAATTTTCTTCATCTGTTTAACCATTGATGGGCACTTAAGTTGATTCCATAGTTTGTCTTATTAATAGTTCTGCAAAACACAGGGGAGTGTAGACAGCTCTTTGATATATTAATTTCCTTTTTTGGATATATGCCCAGTAGTAGAATTGCTAGATCATATGAAAGTTACAATAAAAAACCCTCAATAAACTGTGTATAGAAGGAACATACCTCAAAAAAATAAAGTCACTTCAATAATGTTTCCTATAGTGACTGTACTAATTTTCACTCCCACCAAGAGAGTACAAGAGTTCCTTTCCTCCACATCCTCACCAGCATTTATTATTCCCTGTCTTTTCAATAAAAGCCATATTCACTAGGGTGAGATAATATCTCATTGTGGTTTTGATTTGGATTCATCTGATGATTAATGATGTTGAGCATTTTTTCATATACCTATTGGCCATTTGTATGTCTTATTTTGAGAAATGTCTTTTTAGACTTTAGCTCATGTTTAAATAAAATTATTTGGTGTTTTTTGCTATTGAGTTGTTTGAGCTCCTTTTATATTCTGGTTATTAATCCCTTGATGGAGAGTTTGCAAATAGGTTATTTTATTCTGTAGGTTGTCTCTTTACTTTATATATTTAGCTGTGCAGAAACTTTTTCTTTTGATGTAATCTCATTTGTCTATTTTTTTCTTTTGTTGCCTTTAGCTTTCTTGTATTAATTTCATAATTTCAGGCCTTAGATTTAAATGTTTAATCTGTTTTGATTTTATTTTTGTATATGGTGAGAAGAGGGATATAGTTTCATTCTTCTGCATATGGTTATCAAGTTTCCCTACCAGTATTTATTTAAAAGGCTGTTGTTCCCCATTGTATGTTCTTGGTGCCTTTGTCAAAACTGAATTGGCTGTAACTGTGTGGATTTATATCTGGGTTCTCTATTACGTTCCAGTGCTCTATGTTTCTGTTTTTACCCCAGTAGCATGCTGATTTTGTTACTATAGCCTTGTGAGATATTTTGAAATCAGGTATTGTAACACTTCTGCTTTTGTCCCTTATGTTCAGGATTGCTTTGGCTATTCGAAGTCTTTTGTGGATCCACGTAAGTGTTAGGCATTTTTTTTTCCTATTTCCCGGAAGAATGTCATTGGTATTTTGATAGAGATGTCATTGAATATGTAAATTGCTTTGAATAATATTTTCATTTTAACATTATTAATTTTTCCAATAATTAGCATAAACCACCATTTCTTGTTGCCTCTTCAATTTATTTCATTATTGTTTTATAGTATTAGTTTTGTATAGTATAATTCTTTCGCATATATATATATATTTTTTTTTGAGATGGAATCTCGCTCTGTAGCCCAGGCTGGAGTGCAGTGGCGCGATGTTGGCTCACTGCAACCTCCACCTCCCAGGTCCTGGTTCAAGTGATTCTCCTGCCTCAGCCTCCCGAGTAGCTGGGATTACAAGCACGCACCACCATGCCCAGCCAATTTTTGTATTTTTAGTAGAGACGGGGTTTCACCATGTTGGCCAGACTGCTCTTGAACTCCTGACCTCATGATCTGCCTGCCTCGGCCTCCCAAAGTGCTGGGATTACCAGTGTGAGCAACCACGCCCAGCCCACATCTTTGGTTAAATTGAATCCTAGGTATTTTATATTATTTGTAGCTATTGTAATCAGGAATGCTTTCTTGATTTCCTTTCAGACTGTTTGCTCTTGGAGTATATAAATGCTACTGATTTTTGTATCCTGTAATTTTATTGAAATGAGCAGTTCCAACAGTTTTTTGGTGGACTCTTTAGGTTCTTATAAGATTATATCAGACAAAAATCTTAATTTGACTTCTTCCATTCCAATTTCAGTGTTCTTTATTTCTGTTGTATGATTGTTCTGGTGAGGAATTCCAGTATTATGTTGAATAAAAGTGGTGAAAGTAAATTTTTCTTGTTCCAGATCTTAGAGAAAAGGCTTTCAGTTTTTCCCTGTTCAGCAGGACACTGGCTGTGGCTTTGTCACATACAGCTTTTATTATTTTGAGATACTTTCCTTCTATACCCAGTTTGTTGAGTGTTTTTTTTAATCCTAAAATGATATTGGATTTTATAAAATTATTTTTGGCATATATTTGAAATGATAGTATTGTTTTGTTCTTGGTTCTGTTAAAATGTTTTATCATGTTTATTGCATTGCAATCAATAATAGTGCAATTATTGATTTATTGAACCATCCTTGCATCCCTAGGATGAATCCCACTTAATCATGGTGAATAATCTTTCTAATGTGTTGTTAAATTGAGTTTCCTTGTATTTTTTTTGTTGAGGATTTTTATATCTATGTTAATCAGTGATATTGGCCTGTAGTTTATTTATTTATTTTTATTTGTTGTTGTTGTGTCCTAGTTTGGTATTAGTCATCAAAATAGTGCTGGCTTTGTAGAATGAATTTGGAAGTAGTATCTCCCTGTCATTTTTTTTTTTTTTTTTTGAAGAGTTTGAGTAGAATTGGTATTCTTATTAAATGTTTGGTAGAATTCAGCATTGAAGCCATCAGGTCCTGGGCTTCTCTTTGATGGGGGACATTTTATTATAGCTTCAATTTTGTTGCTCTTTATTGGTTTACAGAAGTTTTTTTATTTCTTCATAGTTCAATCTTGGTAGGTGGTATGTGTCCAAGAATTTATGAATTTCTTCTAAGTTTTCCAATTTGTTGGCATAAAGTTGTTCCCAATAGTCTCTAATTTTTTTTATTTTATTTCTGTAGTCTCAGTTTTATGTCATCGTTATCACTTCTGATTCTATTTGGGTCTCCTCTGTTTTCCTAGTTAAGTTTTGCTGATTTTACTTATCAAGAAAAAGCCTTTTCATTTATATGGTTTTCTGTATTTTTTTCATCTCAATTTCATTCATTTATGATCGGATCTTAATTTTTTCTTTCTTTCCACTAATTTTGGATTTGGTTTGTTCCTGATTTTCTATTTCCTTGAGGTGTATCATTAGGTTGTTTATTTAAAGTCTTTCTATTTTTTATGCAAGTATTTATTGCTATAAACCTCATGCCTAGTACTACTTTTGCTGTATCTCAGATTTTGTTTGTTGTCTTTTAAGAAATTTTCAAATTTGCCTTCTTCATTTATTCATTGACCCATTGGTCATTCAGGAGCATGTTGTTTAATTTTGATGTGTTTGTGTAGTTTTTTAGTTTTCTCTTATTATGTATTTCTACTTGTATTACAGTGTTCGGAAGAAATACTTAATATAATTTCTATTTTTTTGAATTTATTGACATTTGTTTTGTGGCCTAAGATATAGCCCGTTGTGAAAATTTTCCATGTGTTGATAAAAAGAATGTGTATTCTGTTGCCATTGGGTGAAATGTCCTGTAAATTTCAGTTATTCCTATTTGATTTAGTGTGTAGTTTAACTGCGATGTTTCCTTGTTGATTTTCTGTTTTAGTGATCTGTCCATTACTGTAAATGGGGTGTTGAAGTTTTCAATGATTATTAAATTGCAGTCTGTATCTTCCTTCAGATTAATTAATGTTTGTTTTATATACTTGTGTGTTTCAGTGTTGTTTGCATTAGTATTTATATTGGATATATCTTCTTGCTGAATTGAAATATTTATCATTATGTAGTGACATTTTTCTTTTACAGTCTTTGACTTCTGGTCTGTTTTATCTAAGCATAGCTACCCCTATTTTTTAGTATCCACTAGAATGGAATATCTTTTTCTTTCCATCCCTTCACTTGCAGTCTATGTGTGTCTTTACAGGTGAAATGGATTTCTAGTAGACAGCGTAGTTGGTTCTTGTTTCTTTATTCAATCAGCCACTCTTTTTTCTATAACTGGAAAGTTAAGTTCATTTACATTCAATGATGTTAGTGGTAATAAACAAGGACTTACTGCCATTTTTTGGTTGTTTTATACTTCATTTGAAATTCCTTTTTTTCCCTGTTTTCATTTTTTATTGTCTCTATCGTTAAGTGATTTTCTCTTGTAGTATGTTTTAATTCATTGCTTTTTATTTTTAACATACCTATTACAGGTTTCTGCATTTTGGCTACCATGAGGTTTACAAAAACCTATTATAGATGTAATAAATCATTTTAAAGAGATGACAACTTATATCATAAAAAAAGCAAAAAAATGTTTAAAACTATCTACATTTTGACTCCATCCCCCCCCAACATTTTGACTTTTTGTTGTCTCAATTTACATATTTTAATAATGTCTATCTCTGAACAGGTTTCTCTATTTTTGTTTTTGATATATTTGTCTTTTAGGCTTCATACTAGAGATGGTAGTGGATTGCATCTCACAAAATACAGCATCAGAGTATTATAAGGTGGTCTATTTAGTTAATTTTTTCTGTGGGTTTTATACCTCTAAATGTTATCTTTTTGCACATTAGTGTTTGTTTTTTTTTTGTCTTTCGGATTGAAGCACACTCTTTAGTATTTCTTGGAAGGTGGGTCTGCTGGTGATAAATTCTCTCAACTATTTGTCTGTGAAAGATTTTCTCCCTCCTTTATATTTGAAGACTGGCTTTGCTCAATACAGTATTTTTGAATGGTAGTGTTTTGTTTTGTTTTCTCTCTCAGTACTTTGAAAATGTTTTCCCATTCTCTGTATGGTTTCCACTGACATGTCTGTTGCCACATGAATTGGAGCTCTTTTATAGGTTATTTGCTTCTTTTATCTTGCTACCTTTGAGATCCTTTCTTTGTCCTTGACTTTGAAGAGTTTGATTATTAGTCCAAGAGATCTGCCTTGGAGTAGTCTTATGTAGGATGAATCTGTTTAGTATTCTCTGATCTTCTTGTATCTGGATATTTATATCATCCTCAAGTTTTGGAAAGGTTTTGTTATTATTTATTTGAATAAGCTTTCTTTTCCTTCCTCTTGCTAAATTCCCTCTTGAGTATCAATTATCCTTAGTTCTGACCTTTTTGAGGTATTTTTCTATATTCTATAGGCAATCTTTCTACTGTTCCCCTTTTTATTCTTTTGTCATTGTTTTCCTCTTTGTGCTTTCAGATATCCTAATTTTGAGCTCACTGATTCTTTCTTCTTAATTCATTTTGATATTGCAGGCTTTTAATATATTTGTCAGTTTAGCAATTGTATTCTTCTAAGAGTTCTAAGAATTCTGCTTGATATCTTAAAATTATTTTAATATCCTTGCTGAATTTCTCTGATAAATGCATGAATTGCTTTTCTGTGGTATCTTGGAGATCACTGAGTTTCCTTAAAATTGCTACTTTGAATATTTGATCATAGCGCTCACATATCACAATCTTATTAGGGTCAGTCACTGGCTCCTTGCTTTGTTAACTTGAGGAGGTCTTTTTGTCTGGTTTATTTTGGTTTTTACTTGGATATGTTTGCTTAGAGAGTCTTTGCAATTTACCAGTTGAGTTTCTTTCTTTTACTTCCTGCTGGGTCTCTGTCTCCTTTTTGACACTAGATGTATGTTTCACCCAGGTTTGCCTTGGCTCTAGTAATGGATCAGAGTACTGCCTGTTTCAAATGGTGGAAGTCCCTAGGGAGATATCCCAGTAGTGTGGGAAGGCTGGCTAATTGTTCATGCCCAGGGGAACAAAGGAATGTACCTTCTGTAGCACAGTGCTGCTGAAAAGCCTATCTGATTTGGTGTGTCCTTTTACCTATTTATAGAGCAAAGTTTCTAGGGCTGGGGATAGTAATCACATTCTCTGCCTGGCAGAAAAAGATTTCCTGCCAGGGAACTAAGATGGTTGGAAAGCTGGTTGTCACAAGAGTTTTACTTTTTGCAGTGTAGAAATTGTGAGTCAGGGGAAAATACTTGCACACTTGATGCCAGGCAGATTAGAGGCTTGATACCACAAATATGAAAATCCAATTATTTTACCATCTCTTTGGAGACTTCACCTCACTGTGGCTGTGGCAACTGTCTCATCCTCATATTTCAGATTTGGTATATTACTGGTGATAATATTAGTGCTGTGTATTTGTTTTTGATGATCTGTGGTGGGGAATAAAGCCAATTTGCATATATGCTGCTACTTTGGAACTTGAAAGTTCCAGTATCTTCATAAAATAAGATAATATAAATGTTTTAAGAAAATTCTCAGGTTACCTTTTAGATAACATTCAGAAGATATTTGGGATTTTAAGAAATAAATCAGTTTTATTTTTTGTACCATAGAAAATCATTCTCATTTTTTTCTATAGGCTCTGAGAAACATTTCATAAGAACAGTTAGTTTTGTTTTGAACAATGAGTTCATGAAACATGTTTTGTCATTTCAGCGGCTAAAACTTTATAGAACATTCCAATTGATGTCTTACAAAGAACATTTTATCTTATTTAACTCTCATAATGTGAGTTAAAGATTATAATTCTTGTTTTGATTATGTAGCAACTGAGGCTAAGAACAGTGGAAGTAATTCACTAAAGTCACACAGTGAGTAAAAGATATAATCAGGAGCCAAACCCAGTCTAATGTAACTCCCTAACCCCTTATTCTCCAATCTAGCAATAGGTGTGTCCAATTTTTCAGGACTATTTTTAATAGGTTGCTTATCGCTAATATGTTAGGTCTGGTGTGTTAATTATACAATTTTTCTACATATTTCAATAAAATATATGTACATCTATATATAAAAAGTGAAAAACTGTGAATTCAATTCTAGTTTCAAAACTTCTTACAGCTTTTTTGCATCCAGATAGGTAACTATTTTATATGCTAATCTAAAAGGAATATGAAACTCTAAATATTTGACTGAAAAGTCATGGTCACAAATATAAGAAGGCAATTTTGGTGCTTACCATGAATTCCCAAATCTCCTAGAGTTTTGAAAGCATCCTCAAGACATCTCACAAACCTCCCATTATCTGTTAAAGATGAAATCCAAAATTTGTATCTTTTGGTTATTTTTACAGTGACATTTTCTAAGCATATAAGCAGATGTGCAGGGACCTTAGGGGGAAATAAGCTCCACTCATAATTACCTCTCCTCTGCTAAGCCAGAGTACACCTGTGAAATCTTTGCAGAACCACGTTTATAAGCAGGAAATGTTCAAATTTAGAATGAATTCATTTATATTATTTTTATATGCATGTTTTCTTTTTTTGTGACTATCAGGTGACAAATTAAGCACTAAAATATTAAATATTTCTATATTAGTATAAATGTTGCTGAAATCGTATATGTAAATAAGATATTAGCCAATGCCAGCCCTCATTTCCCTACAGAGACACCAGCATAAAAATAACATATGAACCAAAATACCTTTTGAGAACACTGAAACCCAATTAATAAGTTGCAGTACCCAAAATTTAGTGCAAAGCTACAAACGGCCACATTGAAATAGGTAAAAAGAGACATTTTGGTTTACCTGCAATTACCCCACCCCCAAACTGGCATGGCTGAATTTCATCAGGAGAGAAGCCCAGCATACAGCTTCTTCACAGGGGAGGGAAAAGAAATTTGTTAAGGTGTATTCTGGCTTTTTGGAGGGCTGACCTCGTATCAGTTCTGCCTTACCTGACTCAGAAAATCGATGGAGTCTTGAGAGTTTGGGTGGCTGGGAACACTGAAAACAAGGGAGAGTGGGGGTGGCATAGTGCAGCACCAAAGAAATGGCAGTGCGTTCGGGACCATCCTGGCTAACACGGTGAAACCCCGTCTCGACTAAAAATACAAAAAATTAGCCGGGCGAGGTGGCGGGCGCCTGTAATCCCAGCTACTCGGGAGGCTGAGGCAGGAGAATGGCGTGAACCCGGGAGGCGGAGCTTGCAGTGAGCCGAGATCGCGCTACTGCACTCCAGCCTGGGCAACAGAGTGAGACTTCGTCTCAAAAATAAAAAAAAAAAGAAAGAAATTGCAGTGCTTTTATAAACAGGCTAGTATAACTCAGCACAATTGGGAGGGTGTGCCCAATTTGGGGTCTCTCCCTCAGGAGGGAGAGAAAATAATCAAATATGTGTCTGGCCTTCTGATTTTCCAAAAGGCTGTCTAAAGAACTGGTTTCTGTCTTGCCTGACATAGAGAACTGACAAGGAGCCAGGATACTTTGGATGCCCTGGACCACTGAGAATAAAAGAGTACAGGAAGACTTGTTGCTGCAGCACCACAGAACCTGCAGTACTGCGGGCAAACACCAGAAATAACCAGAGATTACCAGCTCCTGAAAAGAAAACCAGCAACTCCCTGTAATTGGGGTTACATGCACAGGCTTGGAGAAGTTACAACCCCCACGAAAAGGTTTTCTGGTCCCCAGAATCTCTAGCCAGATTGTCTGTTGAAGATATTACCAAGTATGAAGCCAGTCCATAAGAACTTGCAGAAGAATATATTTTTCTAATGCATAAGTCTAAGTGACCAAAAGTACAAGACAAATGAGACAAAACAACAACAATCAAACCAGAGAAACACAGCTTAGCAAAAAAAACAGCAACAGCCTAAGTCTCTGAGAACTAAACCCCCAAAAATGGAGATCTCTGAATTACCTGGCAAATAATTCAAAATATTTATCATTTTAAAAAATCCATAATCTATAAGAGAATACAGATGAGCAATTAAAATCAGGAAAATAATTTAAAAACAAAATAAGATCATTGACAAAGAAATAGAATATATGCAAAAGAAACAAATTCTGAAGTTGAAGAATACAATAAGTGAATTGAAAACTTTACTAGAAGGATTCAAAAGCAGCTTGGCAGAAATCAGTGAACTTGAAGATAATTCATCTAAAATTATTAAGTCAGAGAATAAAAACAATAAAGTAAAGAAAGCCTAAAGAATTTTTGACTGTCAAGCCAACCAATATATCCATTATGAAAATTTCAGAAGAAAAGTGAAAAGAACCGAATGGTTATTTGAAGAAATAATGATCAGAAAATTCAGAAAGAAATGTGCATTCAAATTCAAAATTCTTAAAGGATTATAAATAGAATAAATAGAGATTCATACCTAGAAACATTACAATCAAATTCACAAAAGTCAAAAGACAAATAGATTTGAAAGTAGCAAGAGAAAAGTGACTCATAACGTAAAAGAGAGCTTCTATATAAGTATCAGCAGGTATCTCAGCAGAATAATTTCAGGCTAGAGGAAATGAAATATTCAAAATGCTGAAAGAAAAAATAAATTTTCTACTGAAAATAGTATATCCAGCAGAACTGTTATTCAGAAAAAAGGGGAAAATGAATACTTTCTTAGGTAAACAAAACCTGAGAGATTTCATCACCACTGCACTTTTATTATAAAAAATGCTAATGGCAGTCTTTACAATTTGAAGCAAAGGGGAACTAGACAGCAACATAAAATCTCATGAAAATATAAAGCTCACTACAGGTAAACATGTAGAGAAATACAGAATACTGTATTATTGCCATAGTGGTGCATAAAACATCTTTAATTTTTATATAGAATTTGAAAGACAAAGGCATAAAAACAACTTACTCTAAATATGTTATTAGAAGTACTACATATATAGGTATAATTTATGGTATCAATAAAATAAAATGGGAATGAAGATACATGAAAAGGAATATTTTTTGTGTATGATTGAAGATTTTTTTCTGCTCAAAATAGTTATATCTTTAAGATGTTTTATGTAATCTCCATGGTAGACCCAAAGACAATATCTATAGATGATACACAAAAAGAAATGATAAATCAAAACATGACAACACAAAAAAATCAATATAGCACAAAGAAAGGCAGCTGGAGAACCAAATAAGAGCAAAAGGAAAAAATGTCAAAAAAATGCAGTAGTAAGTTATTTCTTAAAATTAGTAATTACTTGGAATGTATATCAATTAAACTCTTCCATCAAAAGAAACAGAGTGGCTGAATGAATTTTAAAAGAAGATGCATTCTTTCTATAAGAGACTCATCTTAAACATAATAACACATGGAGACTGAAAGTGAAAGAATGGGGGAAAATTTCCTGCAAATCATAACCAAAAGAGAGCAGGGATGGTTATTCTTATAATATAAAAATAAACTTCAGTTAAAAAACAATCACAAGGGACAAAGAGTGACCTTTTATAATCAGAAAAGAATAAATACACCAGGAAATATAACAGTTATAAATGTATCTACACCTACAATCCAAGCAACTGAAATATAAGAAGCATATATTGACAGAATATAGAAATGGAAGAGATAGTAACATAGTAATAGTAGGATAATTCAGTATCTCACTTTCAATAATGGCTAGAACAACCAGATAGAAGACCAATAAAGAAATGGAAGATGGGAACAATATAGACAAAATGGAACCAACAGACATATACAAAGCCCTCCACCCAACAGTATCAGAATATACATTCTTCTCAAGTATACATGAAACATTCTCAGAAATGGACCATGTCAGACCACCAAACACATCTGTTATTAACAAATTTAAGAATTTTGAGTAAGTATCTAATCTGACCCCAGTGGAACCAAACTAGAATTCAATTGCAGTAGGAAAAGTAGAAATTTACAGGTATTTGAAAGTTAAACAATGCCCTCTTAAATAACCAATGAATCAAAGAAAAAAAAACAACACAAGTAAATTAGAAAATATCTTCAGAGAAATAAAAACAAAAACACAATAAACCAAAACTTATGAGTTTAAGAAATAAGTAGTACTAAGAAGGGAAGTGTGTTATAGTAAATGGTTACATTTCAAAAGAACAATTTCAAATCCAGAACCTACTTCACACCTCAATAAACTATAAAACATCAATCTATACCCATAGTTAGAAGAAGAAGGGAAACAAATATGAGAGTAGACATAAATGAAAGAATGGAACAAAATGAAAGTTTTTTAAATTCAATTTTTATTTTAGATTCTGGGGTACATGTGCAGGTTTGTTACATGGGTGTATTATGCAATGCTGAGGTGTGGGAAATGAATGATTCTGCCACCCAGATAGTGAGCATAGTAACAGTTATACCAGCCTTGTCCCCCTTCCTCCATCCTGACTTTAGTGGTTTCCAGTGTCTGTTGTTGTCATCTTATGTCTATGAGTGCCCAATCTTTAGCTCCCACTTATAAGTGAGAACATGTGGTATTTGGTTTTCTGTTGCTTAATTCATTCATTTAGAATAATGGCCTCCGGTTGCATCTATATTGCTGTAAGCAACATAATTTTGTTCTTTTTAATGGTTTCCCAGTATTTCATGGTGTATATGTGCCACATTTTCTTTATTCAATCCACCATTGATGGGCAGCTAGGTTGATTCCATGTCTTTGCTATTGTGAATAGTGCTGTGATGAACATGCGAGTGCAGTGCAGTGTCTCTTTGGTAGAATGAATTATTTTCTTTTGGATATATATCTAGTAATTGGATTGCTGGGTCAAATGGTAGTTCGATTTTAAGTTGTTTGAGAAATTCCCAAACTAGTTTCTATAATGGCTGAACTATTTGTATTGTAACCAGCAGTGCATAAGCATTCCCTTTTATCTGCAATTCCATCAACATCTGTTTTCTTTTTTGTTTTTTTATTTGTTTGTTTGTTTGTTTAGTTTTTAATAATAGCCGTTCTGACTGATGTGAGGTGGTATCTGATTGTGGTTTGGCATTGCCTTTCTCTGATGATTTGTGATGTAGAGGATATTTTCATGTTTGTCAGCCACTTGTGTGTCTTCTTTTGAGAAGTATCTGTTATGCCTTTTGTCTATTTTTATTGGGGATATTCGTTTTAATTTTTGCTTGTTGATTTGAATTTCTTATAGATTATAGATATAGACCTTTGTTGGATTCTTAGTTTGCAAATGTTTTCTCCCATTCTCTAAGAGGCCTGTTTACTCTGTTGGTAGTTTTTTTTGGCTGCACAGAAGCTCTTTAGTTTAATTAGATCCCCCTTGTCAATTTTTGTTTTTGTTGCAATAGTTTTTGAAGACTTAGTTATTAATTCTTTTTCAAGACTTATGTCCACAGTGGTGTCTCCTACATTTTCTTCTAGGATTCTTATAGATTGAGGTCTTACATTTAAATCTTTAATCCATCTTTATTTAATTTTTGTATATGGTGAAAGGTAGACATCCAGTGTCATACTTTTGCATATATCTAGCCTGCCATCCCAGAGCAACGTATTGGATAGGCAGTCTTTTCTCCATTGCTTTTTTTGTTGTTGTTGAGTTTAGCTCAAAGGCTAAAACTCAGATGGCTGTAGATGTGCACCTTTTTTTCTGGGTTCTTTATTCTGTTCTGTTAGTTTATGTGTCTGTTTATATACCAGTACTATACTGTTTCGGTTACCATAGACTTACAGTGTAGTTTGAAGTTGGGTAATGTGATGCCTCTGGCTTTCTTCTCTTTGCTTAGGATTCCTCTTGTCATTTGGGCTTTTTATAGTCCCATATTAATTTTAGAATTTTTTTTGTAATTCTATTAAAAAATAAAATTGATAGTTTGATAGAAACAGTGCTGAATTTGTAGATTGCTTTGGGCAGTGTGGCAATTTTCAAGATATTAGTTTTTCCAATTGATGAACGTGGAAAATTTTTCCATTTGTTTCTGTAATCTGTGATGTCTTTTAGCAGTGTTTTAGAGTTCTCCTTGCAGAGATCTTTCACCTCCTTGGTTAGGTGTATTTCTAGGTATTTTGCTTTTTTACGGATTTTGTATATGGGATTGCATTCTTGATTTTGTGTCCAGAGTTGGTTCCTGCCAGTGGGTTTGTGGTCTCGCTGACTTCAAGAATGAAGCTGCAGACCTTCATGGTGAGTGTTACAGCTCTTAAAGATGGCACGGACCCAATGAGTGAGTGGTAGCAAGGTTTATTGTGAAGAGCAAAAGGACAAAGCTTCCACAGCATGGAAGGGGACCCAAGCAGGTTGTCGCTGCTGGCTGGGGTGGCCAGCTTTTATTCCCTTACTGTCCCCTCTTATGTTCTGTTTCTGTCATATCAGAGTGCCCTTTTTTCAATCCTCCCTGCGATTGCCTACTTTTAGAATCCTGCTGATTGGTGCATTTTAGAGAACACTGATTGGTGTATTTTACAGAGTGCTGATTGGTGTGTTTTACAGAGTGCTGATTTGTGTGTTTTGTATGTCCTCTTGTAAGACAGGAAAGTTCCCCATGTCCCCACTCGACCCAGGAAGTCCAGCTGGCCTCACCTCTCAATCCACCGCCTAAACAGGACACCCCAATTGCTGTTGGGAACTGGGCGATGACCGCTGTAGCTACTTCCTATTGTGGGATCTGGCCAGCAGCCCGCAACGCAATGGGGCTCTCTCTTTGCTCCTAGGCAGATCGGCAGGTTGAGAAATAATAGATGCACACAAGATAGTGAAAGCTGGGTCCAGGGGGGTCACTGCCTTCTGGTCCCATGGTGCCAACAATGCACTGGATATACCAGTATTTATTATTAAATTTAGTGAGGGCAGGGGTAGGTTAGTGAGGGATTTAGGGTCATTTGATTATGAGGTGCGATAGTCACATGGGGATGAAGTAATTCTTTAACATAACATTTGTATGTAGAAGTACAGTACATTTGTATGTAGAAGTACAGTATACAGAGATAAAAATTTACAATATAGTGTGTGCGTCAGTAATTTCTAACAGAGCCTTAGAACAGAAACACAGTCTTTCCATAACCTATGATTAGCAAGATATTAATCAGCAGTAACAATTGCAACAAAAGCTGGTTACAAACAATCAATGGCAACAGGACATGAAGCTAGACAACTGGTTAGACCAGAAATTCTCAGAAGGGAGTATGCTTTAACCCTAAAGAGGCCTAGAAGAGCCGTGGCAAGATGAGGGCATTTATAGCCCTATCTTATCCATGTGGCCAGGCGCCCCCCATGCATCCATTTATAGGCTTTCCACAAGGGTCGCATTCCATTCCCAGAGCTATGAACATCTGCTTTTCTGGGATAGGAATCTTGGTGATGTGAAACATCCCTGACTGCATGTCCATTCATAGGCTCTCTGCAGGGGGAAGCACATCACGTGCTGTTGGCTCATTCTGGCAGTCCAACCTGGCATTGTCTTTACACAATCCTGCATGCAATTTTGTATTTACAATAATCAGGAGCATTTCATCTTTTATTCCATAGCAATAGTTTCAGGGGGTCTCCCTACAACTTCCTGCTGGATAGGGGTGAAGAAGTGGCCCTGCAGTTGTAGTGTTCTCCAGGGGGGAACTCTTTAGGCCAAAGGGCCAGTAGGTCAGTCCAGGGTTCCTAGGCAGAAGTTGTGAGTTGAGCTCATATGGGGTTCCATTTGTAAGACCATCTGTAGCTTGATGGCCTCAATCCTGGAGGAAACAATTTTAAGAAGAAGTTTAAAAATACAGGGCCTGAAGGTGAGTAGTAGCAAGATGGCTGTCGTGGGACCTAGAAAGGAGAGAAGCCATGTCACCCAACTCCAGAGGTTGGTATAAGAGTTTGAAAGGCATTGCCTGAGTTCAGAAGCCTTTTCCTGTAAACACCAGGTGACGTCTTGTGCTACCCCTGACTGGTTAGTGTAAAAACAACACTGTTCCCCTAAGAAGGTGCAAAGTCCTCCTCTCTCAGCAGTGAGGAGGTCTAGGCTTCAGCGGTTTTGGAAAGTCACTGCTGTCAAAGAGTCTATTTGGGATTGTAGAGTAGATGGATTTTGTTATTTCTTGTAAACTGAGAAATCCGTTGAGAGTGTGTGGTGGTAGGATAATGAAGTAGATAAACTGACTATTCTGTTTCCTGTAGCAGTGGCCATTCCTAACCCTATAAGTAGGGGTATTAGTTGTATGGCCCTGTGCTGACGGACTTGAGCTTTGAGGGGGCACTGATAGGGTCTGATTTCCTGGGGAAATGTCAGTATTGGGACTTAGGAAGACTAAGGTGCAGGTGTCTATCCAGTTGGTGGAGAGACAGATATAGGTTGAAGTTCCACATAAGAAGAATATGCCTTTGCTGGGTAAGCAGAACTTGTCGTGTATGTTAAAAAAAGTGTGTGAGTTTGCTGTTTTCATTTTCCCATACTCCTAGAGTACTTGCCAAGGTAGCTCTAGTGAGTGGCTGGAAAGGGGTGTTGGGAGCAAACTGAGTGGCTCCCTGTATTCTATTTTCCCATTGGAGAAAAAAACCATTAATCAGTGTCTGATAGAGAGATACAAAACCAACAGTCGTTTGCCAGGGAAGGATTGGACTGGTTTAACAGAGAGTGGGTTAAGTTGAGAGTCTTGTAGAGCTAATAAGGAGCTAGTGGAAGGGGAGGAACGACTATGTGGGGTATCCAAGGAAGCAGGAGGGATGGATAGGCAAAGAGTAAGTAGGAAGGTAAAGAGCATGCCCTGGAACATGAGATCATTTTATCCAGTCTGAGTTAAAGGTAGGAGTAAATTGCTGTCAGAAAGAAGGATGATAGAAAAAAGGTTGATGTGATTAGGATTTTTGTCCCAGCAGGAGCTACAGTATATAGTCCTACTGCAAAAAGTCTGGTTAGTATACTGCTTAATAACATGATGAAACAGTAAAAGGATCCCATTAAAGGGGCAAGAAGAGGTGTTAAATATTATGTAGGTTTTCGCTTATCTTTTTTAGGTAGGAAGGGCTTTTTTCCTCAGGATCAGCTGTAGGAGCCTTTTTAGTCTGGGATGTTTCCTTCCAAAATAGGAGACACAAGTCCTCCAATGGTTTACAGTTGTATCGAGGCTGGTCTGGCTGATCTTGGGACTCCTGAGCTGGTGGTCCTGCAGGTTCTTCAGGGGGTGTCCAAAGCTTAACTTAGGTGTGGTAAATCCAAGATTCCACTCCTGCCACCTTAACTGCAGTTGGGGTAAAGAGGATTACCAAGTATGGTCCTTCCCACAAGGAATCCGTAGATGGGGAGGTAGAGGAGAGGGACTTGACCAACACTAGATATCCAGGTTGGAACAACTCTGTTCCCTTATCTCTGTGACATCCTTTGGGTAGGTTTTTAAGGTTTTGTTGATATTTTGCCAAGGAAGTTATATCCTTGACCAAGTTGGCCGTTTCCTGATCAAGTAGGCGGTCATTTGTGAGAAAAGGTCATCCATACAGCATTTCATATGGACTGAACCCCATTTTGTGAGGAGAATTTTGGATTCTCAACAAGGCCATGGACAAGAGAGTAGGCCATGGGAGATGAATTCCTTGTGTTAGTTTCCTTTAGTACCTCTTGAGTGTTTCATTTGCCTTCTCAACCTTCCCTGAGGGGATTGTGGCCTCCAGGCTCAGTGAAGGTGACATTGTTTCCCTAACACCTTGGAAATTCCCTGAGTTACCTTGGCTTTTGAAGTCAGACCATTGTCATTTTGTAAGCTTTGGGGAAGCCCACATCTAGGAATTATTTCGTGAATTAGGACTTTAGCCACTTCCTGAGACTTCTCTGTCTTGCAGGGGAAGGCTTCTATCCACTTTGTAAAGGTATCAACACAGACCAACAGGTATTGAAATTCCCTTGACTTTGGCATACGGATGAAGTCTAACTGCCAGTCCTCTCCAGGATAGTGCCCTATTCTTTGTTCCTCCAGAAGGGCTTTATGATGGACCAAGGGATTATTCCTTTGGCACACCTCACAGGCTTTGACTACTTGTCAGATGTCCGGAGGAGATTTGGCCCTGTAAATAGGGATTTGGCCATTTGATGAGTGCTCTCAATACCCATATGAAAAGTTTGATGGGGGGTCTTAAGTATTTTTCACTGACTGGCTTCCGGTATGAGTACCCTTCCCTCTTCTGTTGTTAACTACCCGGAGGGGAGAAAACTATGCCCCCATGAAAGTCCCCATTCTGTTTCAGTCGGGGAATACTGGGGCTTAATCTCTCTGAGAGGGTTGTTCCATACCAAGGATCCTTCTATAGGTATTTCTAATGGGAGGTTCCATCTGGCAGCAATTTTGGCCTCAGGGTCTGCATGACGGTTTCCTAGTGCCTTTTCTCCTTCACCTTTTTGATGGCTTTGGCAGTGTAAGACTGTCACCTCCTTGGGTTTTTGCACTGCGTGCAATAACTCCATGATTTCCTTGTGGCATTTAATGGGGGTTCCCCAAGAAGTTAGGAATTCCCTTTCTTTTCATATTGCGGCATGGGCATGCAGGATTAAATAAGCATACCTACTGTTTGTATACACATTTATTCTTTTTTCCTTTCCCAGTTCTAAGACTTGGGTAACTGCCACTAGTTCTGCTAATTGGGCACTGGTCCCCAGGGGAAGAGGCTTACTTTCAAGTACTGTTACATCACTAACTATGGCATAACCTGCCCTTCGTATCCCATTCTCAACAAATGTACTTCCATCAGTATATAGCTTAAGGTCATGATTAGCTAAGGGGACTTCTGAGAGATCCTCTCAGGTGGCATAAGTCTGGGCGACAATTTGTTGGCAGTCATGCTTGATTGGTTTCCCATCCCCCTGGGAGAAAAGTAGCAGGGTTGAGGGCTGCACACGTGCATATTTGAAGCACTGGTCCCTCAAGGGGTAGCATCTGGTATCTAAGCAAGCAGTTGTCTGACAGCCATAAATTTCCTTTGGCACCTAGTATGCCATTTACATCATGACTAGTCCAGAAGGTGAGATCCTTTCCTTGTATTATTTTGATAGTCTCTGATACCAAGATGGGCACCGCCACAACTACCAGTAAACAGTGAGGCCAGGCTTTTGCTGCTACATCAATTTCCTTACTTAGGTATGCCACTGGTTGTGGGGTTGTCCCACAAGTTTGAATAAGGACTCCAAGAGCTATTCCTATTCTCTCTGTGATGTATAAAGAGAAATTTTTTCCTGTGGGAAGGCTTAAAGCTGGAGCTTGTACTAGGGCCTGCTTTAAGATTTTGAAGGCTGTTTCCCTTCAAAATCTGGTTCCCATTCAACTAGATGAGTATTTGCCCTCTGGGTCTCCTTGATTAGAGTATAGAGTGGCCTGGCCATCTCACTGGATCAGGTGATCCATCATTGGCAAAAGCCGGTGATCCCAAGGAAGCCCCACAACTGTTTTAATGTCTTAGGGTGAGGACAGGCCAATATATGTTGTATTCATTCTTTGCTGAGGGTTCTGGTTCCTCTAGCTAAGATTAGGCCTAGATATTTGACTTGTTGTAGGCCAATCTGGGCCTTCGATTTAGATGCCTTGTACCCTTGATTAGCTAGGAAGTTCAAGAGATCTACAGTAGCCTGCTGGTATGAGGCTTCTGAACTGGCAGCCAAAAGTAAATCATCCACATTTTGAAGGACCAGAGTGCCTGGACTTGAGAAGTGGCCTAGATCTTGGGCCAGTGCCTGACCAAACAGATGAGGGCTATCCCTAAATCTTTGAGGCAAGACTGTCCATGTAAGTTGGGACACGTAGTCTGTGGGATCCTGAAAGGTAAAGAGAAACTGGGAGTCAGAGTGCAGGGAAGTGCAGAAGAAGGCATCCTTGAGGTCCAGAACAGTGAACCACTCTGCTTCCTCTGGTATTTGAGAGAGTAGGGTATACAAGTTGGGTACAGCTATATATATAGAGGTATTATTCCCTCATTGATGAGTCTAAGATCTTGCACTAGTCTCCACTGACCATTTGGTTTTTGTACTCCTAAAACTGGGGTATTGCAGGAACTGCTGCATTTTCTTACTAAGCCTTGAACTTTTAAATGTCTAACAGTATCATGTAATCCTTTATGAGCTTCAGGCCTTAAGGGATATTGCCTTTGAAAAAGAAAAGTGGTGGGGTCTTTTTAGCCTGATTTGGACTGGGTGGGCATTTTTTGCCCTTCCAATTATCCTTCCAATGCCCAGACTTCAGGGATGATTCCCTCCTCAAGTAGAGGACAACAAATGGGTAACTTGTTCCCCATATTCATGTAGATGATAGCTCCAGCTTTGGCTAATAGATCCCTCCCCAATAAGTGTGTGGGACTTTCAGGCATAACAAGAAATGCATGTGAAAAGAGCAAAGTCTCCCAATTACAACTGAGGAGGTGGGAGAAATACCTAGTTGCAGGCTGTCCCAGGATTCCTCAGATGGTAACAGACTTTGAAGACAGCCACCTAGGGCAGGAAATTAACATTGAGAATGCCACGCCGGTGTCCAGGAAGAAGTCAATTTCCTGGCCCTCAATGGTTAAACTTACCCGGGCCTCAGTGAGGGTGATGACATGAGCTGATGCTTGCCCTGGGCATCCTCAGTCCTGTTGTTGGATCACTTGGTTGGGGGCTTCTGGCCCAGAGAACCTTTGTCCTCTGGGGCAGTGGGCCTTCCAGTGATTGCCTTGGCATAATGGACATGAGCAAGGGGGCGGCTTGTTTCTCGTTGGACAATCTTTTTTAAGATGTCCTTGCAGACCACACTGATAACAAGCCCTACTGGGTGATTGGCCTGCTCCATTTTCTATCCTCTCCAAACCACCAAGGTTTGTTTGTCTGAGGGCTATGACTAAGGCTGTGGCCTTTCTCTTTTCTCGCTTTTCCTTTTTGGCCTGTTCCTCTTGGTAGGCTCATCTAACAATAGCATAACATCTCTCCAAGTGAGGTTGAAGGTTTGCCCTAGACCCTGTAGAACATCTATATACCTATTAGGATCATCTGAAAACTTCCCCAGGTCTACCTTGATCTGCTTTAAATTAGACAGAGAGAAGAGGACATGTACACAGATTGGACCAAATTCTCCTCCCCCCACAGCTTGAGGGGGACATAACTGATGGCCCGGTGGGATTTTTGGTCCCTTGGAGATTTCTTTGCTCATTTCTTTCATATCAGAGTGCCCTTTTTTCAGTCCTCCCGTGATTGGCTACTTTAGAATCCTGCTGATTGGTGTGTTTTACAGAGCGCTGATTGGTACGTTTTACAATCCTATTCCAAGACAGGAAAGTTCCCCAGGTCCCCACTTGACCCAGGAAGTCCAGCTGGCCTCACCTCTCAATTTGCCTCAGAGTTTCAACATTATTAGTGTATAGAAATGCTGCTGAATCTAGTACATTCATTTTGTACCCTGATTCTTTACTGAAATCATTTTCAAATTGCAGGAGTCATTTGATGGAGTGTTTAGGATTTTCTAGGGAATCATATCATCTATGAAGAGAGATATTTTGATTTCTTCTTTTTCTATTTGGATGCCTTTTATTTTCTTCACTGATTGTTCTGGCAAAGACTTCCTGTAGTATGTTTTATAGGAGTGATGAGAGTGGGCATCCTTGTCTTTCCCAGTTCTCAAGGGGAATGTTTCCAGCTTTTGTCCATTTAGTATGATGTTGGATGTGGATTCATCGTACATAGCTCTTATTTTTTGGAGGTGTGTTGCTTCAGTGTCTATTTTATTGGTCATTTGTATCATGTAAGGATGTTGGGTTTTATCAAAGGCTTTTTCTGCATCTGCTGAAATGATCCTATGGTTTTAATTTTTAATTCCTTTTATAGGATGAATCACATTTATTGATTAGTATATGTTGAACCAATTTTGTATTCCAGGAATGAGCCTACTTGATCCTGGCGAATTAACTTTTTGATGTGCTACTAGATTCAGTTGGCTGGTATTTTGTTTAGGAATTTTGTGTACATGTTCATCAGGGACATTGGCTTGGCCTATAGTTTTCTCTTTTCATTGTATTTTTGTCATTTGTGTTGATGTTGACTTCACAGAATGAGTTAAGGAGGCATCCCTCCTTCTTGAATTTTTCAAATAGTTTCAGTTTAATTGGTACCAGCTCTCCAGCTGAATTGGAAGAATTTGGCTAGGAATCCATCTAGTCTGGGTCTTTTTTGTGTTTGTTAGTAGGTTTTTTATTACTGATTCAATTTCAGGACTGAATATTGATTCCTGAAATTGGTTCCAATTTCTTCCTACTTCAATATTGGCAGTTTATGTGTTACTAGAATTTTTCTATTTCCTCTACATTTTCTAGTTTGTGTGCATAGAAGTATTCATATTTAGCTCTGAATTTTTTTTTTTGTATTTCTGTAGTATTAGTTGTAATACCACTTTTTTCATTCCTGATTTTGCTTATTTGGATCTTATCTTTCTTTTTTCTTTGTTAATCAAGCTATGGGTTTATTGATCTTGTCTTTTCTGTGGAAGAAACAACTTTTGGTTCTATCAGTTTCTTTTTTGAATTTTTTGGTCTCGATATTGTTTAATTCCACTAAAATTTTAGTTTTTTATCCTTCTAGCTTTGGAGTTGATTTGTTTTTGTTTTTCTAGTTCATCTAGGTGTGATGGTAGATCATTAATTTAAGATCTTTCTAGTTTGTAGAGTTAGTTGTGTAGACTATAAACTTTTAATATTGATTTTGCTGCATCCCAGAGATTTGGGTATGTTGTATCTCTATTTTCATTTATTTGAATGAATTTTTTTATATCTTCCTTCATTTTGTTGCTTACCCAAAAGTCATTCAGAAGGAGGTTGTTTAATATCCATGTAATTTTGTGGTTGTGGGAGATCTTCCTGGTATTGATTTCTGTTTTTCTGCCACTGTGGTCTGAGAGTATGGTTGCTATTATATATTTTTAAAAAGATTTATTGAGACTTGTTTAATTGCTGAGCATGTTATTAGTCTTGAAGTATGTACCATGTTCAGAAGAATATATATTATGTGATTGATGATCAGAGTGTTCTGTAGATGTCTATTAGGTCCAATTAGTCAAGTGACAAATTTAAATTCAGAATTTCCTTGTTAGTTTTCCACCTTGAGATCTGTCTAACATTGTCAGTGTTTTTTTTTTCTTTTTAAACTCCCCACTGTTATTTTCTGGCTGTTTTCTTGTACATTTAAAAGTAGTTATTTTGTGAATCTGGGTGCTCCAATGTTGCTGCATATGCATTTAGAATAGTTAAGTCTTTTGTTGAATTGAACCCATTATCATTATGTAATGTCCTTTGTTCATTTTTACACTTGTTGGTTTAAAGTCTGTTTTATCTGATATAAGAATAGTGAACTTTGCTTTTTTGTTGTTGTTTATTTTCCATTTGTGTGGTGATATTTTTCCAACCCTTTACTTGGAGCCTATGGGTGTGTCATTACATAGGAGATGGGTCTCTCAAAGGCAACAGATTGACATGTCTTTAAGTTTTTTTTTATTCCACTTGCAATACTGTGCCTTTTAAATGGGGGGCACTTTAGCTAGTTACAGTCAAAGTTTGTTTATATGTGAGGTTTTGATAGTATAATAAACCTATTAGCTCTTTGCTTTGTAGTTTCTATTGTCTGGTTCCTTCATAACGTCTGTGGGCTATGTACTTAAGTTTGTTTCTGTAGTAGCAGGTATCTTTCTTTTGTTTCCATGTTTAGAACTCCCAAGTATCTCTTGTAAGGCTGGTCTAGTGGTAACAATTTACCTTACTGCTTTCTCTTTGGAAAAGTCTTTGTTTCTCCATTTCTGAAGCTAATTTGGTATGCTATGAAATTCATGGTTGGAATTTCTTTTCTTTATTAATGCTGAAAATAGGCCCCTAATCTCTCCTACATTGTAAGGTTGCTACTGAAAAGTTTGCTGCTAGCCAGATCATGTTCCCTTTGTACATAATCTTTTTTCTCTAGCTATCTTTAAGATTTTTTCTTCTTCATTGACCTTAGACAGTCTGGTGACTAAAGGCTTGGTGATATTCATTTTGTGCAGTATTGCACAGGTGTTATTTTATCTGGTTCATTGTATCTGGATGTCTATTTTTCTAGAAAGACTAGAAAAATTTTCTTGAATTATTCCCTCAAATATGTTTTCCAGGTTGTATACTCTTTCTCCTTCTCTCTCAGGAATGCCAGTGCATCATAGGTTTAGTCACTTTACATAATCCCATATTTTTCCAAAGATTATCTTCATTTTTAAATTCCTTTCTCTTTAGTTTTGACTGCCTAGGTTAATTTGAACAACTGGTCTTAAAGATCAGAAATTTTTTCCTTTGCTTGGTCCAGTCTCTTTATAAAGCTTTCAATTGCATTTTGAAATTCCTTATGTGAGTTTTTCAATTCCAGAAGCTCTGATTGATTTATTTTTAAGATGCCTATATCTTTCTTCATTTCCTGGATTCATTTAGAAGTTTTTTTGTGTTTTGATTTTCAAACATGTCTTGAAGCTCATTAATTTTCCTTATAATTCATGCTTTGAATTGTTTATCTGTCATTTTTGCCTTTCCATTTTGGTTAGGGACTATTCCTGGAAAGCTCATGTGATCCCTTGGTGGTGTCACTACATTCAGAATTTTTATGGTGCCAGAATTCTTGTGCTGGTTCCCTCTCATCTAGAGTGCCAACACTTTTAATTCTTGTAATTATTTTCATCAGGGTAGGATTTGTTTTTCTTTCTGTCTTTATGATATTATCCTTTTTCTTTTCATTTCCCTTTTTCCTCTCCATAGGGACTGTGATTATAGACAGTGTTTGGTAGGGTCTTTTGTCTTTGCTTCCAAATACTTAAGTACTTCATTCAGCAAGTTTTATATAGAGATGTACAGTTTGACCTAAAAGCCAGTAGATGGTGGGCTGCAGCCAATGTGGCTAGACAAAGTTCTTTTCCCAACCTAGGTTGCTTGGATCCCCAGTAGAAAGGTGAGTCACAGAGGGAGGCTCTCTGCCTCTCTCATGTACTAGAGCTTCGTTCATTTATTTCAGCCAGATGCTGTAACAGGGGCTCTTTGCCAGCATTCTCCTCCCCAGGATCTAGGGTGCCCTTCATGATTCTGGTGGATTCTCATTTTTCTTCTTGGATTAAAGCTTAGATAATTAATCTTTTCACACTATTTTGCTATTTCCAAGTGGCTGAGGTACACTAAAAACCTCTATTTTCTCATCTTGGAAAATAAAAATAACAACAGCAAAGAGTTGTTTTATTTGAACGTTCAATAAAAATTGCAAATACTTAGCTAGACAAAGAAAAGAGATGACCCAGATAGTTAAAATCAGAAGTGAAAGAGGAGACATTACAACTGATGCCACAGATATAAAAATTATTTTGAGACTACTACAAATGATATATCCCAACAAATTGGATAATTTAGAAAAAAAATAAATTCCTAGAAACATACAGTCTACTGAGTAAATCATAAAGAAATGGAAAAACTGAACATACCAATAACAAGTAAGGAGATTAAATCAATTATCAAACCATCCAACAAAAGAAACATCAGGACCAAATAGCTTTGCTGGAGAATTTTGCCAAACATTTAAATAAGAATCGGCACAAATCCTCCTGAAATCCTTTCAAATAAATGAATAGAAAGGAACACTTTTAAATCAACTGTATGAGTCCAACATTACCCTGATACTTAAGCCAGACAAAGATACTATTTAAAAATCCAGACTAATAACCCTGATGAATATTGATGCAAAAGCTTCAAAAGAATAAGCGCAAACCAAATCTAATAGCACATTAAAAGTGTTATACACAAGAATAAGAGCAAACCAAATCTAATAGCACATTAAAAGCATTATACATTATGTCCAAATGGGATTTACCATTGAGATGCCAGGATGTTTCAGTATATGAAAATCAGCAAATGCAATTTACCCTATTAACAGAACAAAGAACACAAACGACAATTAATACAGAAAACATATTTTTTCAAAATTCAACACTTTTATAAGAAAACACTCAGAAAACTGGAAATGGAAGAAAATTACTTCAAAATAATAAAAGTTATATATGAAAAGCTCATAGCCAACGTTATACCCAATGGTAAAAATAATAAAAGCTTTTTAAGACCAAGAACAAGAAAAAAATGCACCCTCTTGCCACTTGTATTTATCATTGTACTAGCGCTCCTAGTCAAAACCATTAGGTAGTAAAAATAAAGAGTAGGCTTAGCCAAATTGTAAAGGAAGAAGTAAAATTATCTATTCTTATAGATGA